>NC_000003.12:196574564-196725564 GCF_000001405.40 Homo sapiens | reverse complement strand
TACACTGTCCCGTGAATTCTAGTTACCTTGGCCTGCCCAGCATCTCAACTTTATCTCCTCAACTCAAAAAGTCCACTAGGCTCTGCTTGAGTTTCTCCTCCCTGCATTAAGCCTGAAAATATTCTCAAGGAAATAAGCTGGATGACAGTAGGGCTCACCTTACTTACTTCCCTTCTCTCGGATATCTCTGCCCTTCATTGCCTGATATTCAATGACTTTTTTCATTATTTCATATATTTTGTCTATTTCTTGCTTGTTTCAAGTAAGAGACTAAATTTGTTACCTGTTCTCCACTTGACCAGAAGCAGAAGCCTTAATACTACATACTTTGAGTAAAACTTATGGTTTCAAAAACTGTTTCCATTTTGACCCACAAAACAGCAATTTTATACGTTTCAATCTAATATTATACTGCTTTCAAAGAATCTAAGAGACTTCTGATGAAAAAATATGTTTAATAACCCTACCTAAAAAAGTGAAATGAGGTTTATTTGATCTGCCTTATCCTTGGTGAACCTACTTAAGGCTTGCATTTATTTTCAAATTATTCACAAACCATCACAAACTCCTTACAAAGCATTTTGCTGGCACACCACTCATTTAATCTGGGCCCACAGTTCCATTTGTTGCAGCCAAAAATTTTATTTCCTGGAGCAGAGTCAAGACATTAATCCAGGTATACAAGCATCAATCAGTCCCTACATATAAATTCCTTCTACCCAGTTACACTTATTATATAATAACACTTAGCATAACAAAGTTTCTCTGTACGAGGAATTGGGCCATAATCTCAACTAGGCAGAAGGAATATGTCAGGCATCAAATTCCATATATTTAAACGTCACAAATGTAACATCTATTTTTCTAGAAGTTTCCAAAATAAAGAAGTAAATACACTTACAAGGCTTATAATTATGGATTAGAAGATTAGAAAGCAGAAAATCAAGATCAAGATAAACTTGTTAATCAATCTATAATGGCACTCTCTACCTGTACCCTTTTCTTCTAACAGTCAACCTTCAAACATCCAAATCTCATCCCCATCCAAAGATATGAATTTTTGGGTAACCCCCATCCAAAAAACTTTGATTTTCTTAGAACACGGTAAGTGATTTTATTAAGTAGATTTAAATATGATTCCAACCCATATCCTTACAAGCCAAAAACTGTGTTGAAATTTGAAATCTATTATTTTAAATTTGAATAGCCTCATTTAGAATTCATAATTCATTGAAGAAAAGAAATGAGATCCTTCTGGCCGGTGGCTCATGCCTGTAATCCCAGCACTTTGGGAGGCCAAGGTGGGCAGATAACCTGAGGTCAGGAGTTCGAGATCAGCCAGGCCAACATTGTGAAACCCCACCTCTACTAAAAATACAAAAATTAGCCAGGCATGGTGGCATGCACCTGTAATCCTAGCTACTCGGGAGGCTGAGGCAGGAGAACTTGAACCTGGGAGGCAGAGGTTTCAGTGAGCCAAGATTGTGCCACCGCACTCCAGCCTAGGCAACAGAGACTCTGTCTCAAAAAAAAAAAAAAAAACATTAAATTAAAAAAAAATGAGGTCCTTCCATAATTGTATGTGTATGTAAACTGTCATACATACACAAAAAACTGAGAACACACTTGCTGATTAGTGGTTGACACAGGCAGAATGTTATCATTGCATACCTTTTTATATCTACTCAATGAACCCATGAGAATGTAATTACTTATTCAAAAACAATTAAAATAAAATAAATGGATAAAGAAACTGGCCTAAACCACGATTAGAAATAAACTGCCATCATGAATAACTATAGATGCATCTATTTTACAGTTTTAAAAATTCGTAAGTAGATTATAATCTTATCAACTAAGACAGTGTCTCCCAAAATTTCTTAACAGAAATCACCTAGGTTACATATACCTACTGCGTACCCACAATAATTAAAAAAAAAAAAAAAAAGAAATCATCTGGGTTCTTCAAACCAGATTTTGGGGCCCAATCTAGGCCTACTGAATCAGGATTTCCCTGGAAGGCAATACTCTGTACAAAAGTGCCCCCAGGGAATTCTTACCAAAGTTGGGGAAACTTTTCTAACTACGGGGTAAGATTCAGGTCCAACAAGGGCAACAACATTACAACTAGACAATCTTGGATCCATTTTTTGGCTCTTCCAATTATCTATGTGATTTTGGATAAGTTACTTGGCCTCTTTGCGCCTCAGTTTCTTTTTTCTTTGAGACAAAGTCTCATTCTGTCACCCAGGCTGGAGTGCAATGATGCGATCTCGGCTCACTGCAACCTCCGCCTCCCAGGTTCAAGTGATTCTCCGGCCTCAGCCTCCCAAGTAGCTGGGATTACAGGCGCCCACCACCACACCTGGCTAATTTTTGTATTTTTGTAGAAACAGGGTTTCGCCATGTTGCCCAGGCTGGTTTCGAATTCCCAAGCTCAGGCAATCTGCCTGCCTTGGCCTCCCAAAGTGCTGGGATTACAAGCGTAAGACGCTGCACCCAGCCCTCAGTTTCCCTATATATAAAATGGAGATTCCACCTCCAGGGTTGTTATAAAGATTAATTTATGTAAAGGGTGCAGGACACGATCTTTCTTTTTAAAAGAAAATGAAGATATCTGGCATATAGACATCTATTAAATATTAGTTTCTTCTCCTCACATATCAAACTTACCCAGATGTTGGGGTATATGTCATTCTCATTAACAAAGTTACTGTTGAGGCACTATTTATTAATCATTAATTTTCTCAAGACATACACATACACCCAGATAATTTTCTTAGTCACTGAACTATGAACCACCTTAAAAAGCATTTAACTAGCTCAGTTTAGTTGGCTTATTCCTGACAAGAGTCACTCACTTGTCAAAGACTATGCCCAGTCTATCTCTAAAAATGTCACTTTATACACTTTAACAAAATGAAAAGAAAACCTACTATTTTTCCTTAATCCAAACTACAGCACCCCTAAATTAATTTCTCTCCCAAAAAATCCCCTAATAACTGTACCTCTGTTATGTTTCTCTCTCGTAATGAAGCCAACTCATACGGATCCACATAAAGTCCTGCAGGAATGTCCTGTTTAATTAAGAGACGGCAGGTGTGCAAGTCCTCAATGCTTTCCCCAAACTTCACTTTGATTAAAAGGTCTCTGTAAGACAAGTACATTGAAAGTAAATCTCTTCATTCAACTGTTAAATGAGATAACATAACACTGTATTCCTATTAGTGAAAACACTGTATTTCAAAATTCATTTTCCAAAAGTAGATTATAAGGTCAAATGAAATATTTATAACATGTCAGAATCATCCATTAGATCTTTCATAATTCATGTCATAAGCCACTATAGCATTATTGTAAAAATAGACAAAGATCAATGAAAAGGAATGGAATCCAATAACATTCACACAATTTTCAATAAAGGTACCAACGTAATTTAATGGGGAAAGGATAGTCTTTTCAACAAATGGCACTGAAACAACTGGATATTTACACAGAAAAAAACAGGCCAGAGGGCAGGCATGGTGCCTCATGCCTATAATCCTAGCACTTTGGAAGGCTGAGGCAGGTGGACTGCCTGAGCTCAGGAATTCGAGACCAGCCTGGGTAACACAGTGAGACCTAGTCTCTACCAAAAATACAAAATTTAGCCGGGCATGGTGGCACATGCCTGTGGTCTAGCTACTCAGGAGGCTGAGGCAGGAGAATCTTTTGAGCCTGGGAGGTGGAGGGTGCAATGAACCAAGATCATGCCCCTGTACTCCAGCCTGGGTGACAGAGCAAATCCCCATCTAAAAAAAAAGAAAAAAGAAAAAATAGGCCGGGGATGGTGGCTCATGCCTGTAATCCCAGCACATTGGGAGGCTGGGATTCAAATGATGCAGGAGGATCATTTGAAGCCAGGAGTTTGAGACCAGCCTAAGCAATATGGAGAGACCCCTGTCTCTAAAAAAATAAAAAAATTAGCCAGACATGGTGATGTGTGCCTATAGTCCCAACTACAAGGGAGGGTGTGGTAGGAGAATCTTTTGAGCCCAGGAGGTCGAGGCTGCAGTGAGCTCTGATAGCGCCATTATATTCCAGCTTGGAGGACAGAGACAAGACCCTGTCTCAAGAAAAAAAAAAGAGAGAGAGAGAGAAGATATTTTTTAAAAAACTAAATGCAACTTTAAGAGATGAAGAATATAATTTCCGAAATAAAAACTTACCCAGATGTAATTAAAAGCCATTAGATGCTGAAGAAGAAAAGATCAGTGACTTGGAGACACAGCAACAGAAACTACCCACACTGAAGCACAGAGAGGAAAAAAGACCAGGGAGAAAAAAGGAACCGCCTCCATGGCCTTTAAACAATATCAAGTAGTCTAGTATACATATATTTGGAGTTCCTAAAAAAGAGAAGAGAATGTAACAGAAAAAAAATGAAGATATAATGGCTGAACACTTTCTGAATTTCATAAAATTATAAGTCTACAAATCCAAGAAGCCAACCAACCCTAAGCAGGATAAATACAAAGAAAATCACATCAAGGCACATTATTATCCAGTCAATGGAAAACAATCTTAAAAGCTATCAATAATGATGGAGAGATTAACAAAGATAAGAATAAGCTAGAAGATAATGGAGCAACTTATTTAAATTACTAAAAGAAAAGAGGCTGTCGATCTAGAATTTTATATCCAGGAGGAAAATCCTTCAAAAATAAAGGCAAAATAAAGATTCAGACAAACACAAACTAAGAGAATTTGTCACTGCAAGAAATGACAGAAAGTAAATGATACTAGATAGAAACATAAATCTATAAGAAAGAAGAGATCAGAAATGATAAGTATGTGGGGGAATATAAAAGACTTCTTTCTCATGTTTTAATTGCTTTCAAATATGATTGCTAGACAAATTGGAGCCCTTGAGCATCACTGGTGGGAATGTAAAATGATGTGGCCACTACAGAAAACTCTATGACAATTTCTCAAAAAATTACAATAGAATTATCACATGATCCAGCAATTCCACTTCTGGGAATATGAAGCAGGCATTTAAGAGACAACCGTAAATCCTGTTCACAACGGCATTATTTGCAACAGCCAAAAGGCAGGAGCAACCAAAGTGCCCATCAACAATGAACAAATAAGCAAAATGTGGTACAAACATACAATGGAATATTACTCAGCTTTAAAAAGAAGGGAAATTCTCACATACCCTAAAACATGAAGGAACTGTGAGAACATCATGCTATGTGAAATAAGCTTCACAAACATTATATGATTCCACTTATATGAGGTACCCAGAGGAGTCAAATTCACAGAGACAAGCATGCTGGTTGCCAGGAGCTGGGAGGAGGAGGAATGAGTAGTTATTGCTCAATAGGCAAGGAGTTTCAGTTGTACAAAACGAAGAGTTCCATAAATGGATGGTGGTGATGGTAGCACAATAACGTGAATGTACTTGATGCCACTGAATTGCACACTTACAAATCGTTAAAATTAGGCCGGGCGCGGTGGCTCACGCCTGTAATCCCCACACTTCGGGAGGCCGAAGCAGGCGGATCACGAGGTCAGGAGATGGAAACTAGCCTGGCCAACATGGTGAAATCCCATCTCTACTGAAAATACGAAAATTAGCTGGGTGTGGTGGCAGGCGCCTGTAATCGGGAGGCTGAGGCAGAAGAATCACTTGAACCAGGGAATCGGAAGTTGCAGTGCGCCGAGATCGCGCCATGCACTCCAGCCTGGCAACAGAGCGAGACCCCATACCAAAAAAAAAAAAGTTAAAATTGTAAATTTTATGTTATGGGTATTTTATCACAATTAAAATAAATAATGTGAAAAGTGACTGCTTAAAGAAAAACCAGTAACAATATATTGTGGGGTTCATAACACAAGTAAAAAATAAAGTAAAATATGTGATAACAACAGCATAGAAAAGAGAAGGAGATGAAGCTATCCTGATAAAACAGTATCTGTGACATGGAATAAAATTATTTGAAGGTAGACTGTGATAGGTAACGATTGCAGGTTGTAAACCCTAAAGCAACAAATTAAAAACAGAGAGGTATAGCTAATCATCCAAAAATTGAGATAAAATAGAATGCTTAATAAGTACTCAATTTAACCTAATGCTAAATGACGAGTTAATGGGTGCAGCACACCAACATGGCACACATATACATATGTAACAAACCTGCACATTGTGCACATGTACCCTAGAACTTAAAGTATAATAATAAAAAAATAAAAAATAAATACTCAATTTACCCAAAATAAGGCAAGAAAAGAAGGAGAAGACTAGATGCAACAAAGAGAAAAACAAATAGATAAAAAAGTAGCTAGACAGATTTAAACCAGACCAACCATATTAATATTTACATTAAAAATAAACGGTCTAATCACTCCAATTAGAATGCAGAGACTGACAGATGGATAAAACAGCAACTCCTTTCACAAGGTCTTGGGATTTGGAAAGAAAAAAATTGGCCACCCTGAACTATATGCTATCTACAGGAAACACACTGAAGATAAAGACGATAAAAGTAAAAGGATAAAAAAGATATGCAAATATTAATAATAAATATGGGATGGCTATATTAATATTAGAATAAGGTGACTTCGGGACAAGGAATATTGTCAGTCATAAAGAAAGACATTACACAAAGATAAAAGGGTCAATTCATCCAATTCATCAAGAAATTATCAAGAGCATCAAGAACAATCCTAAATGTAGCACACACACACAAAAACAGAGCTTCATTGTTAAATTCTATTAAACATTAAAGGAATAAATAATACCAATGCTACACAAGCAGAAACTAGAGAAGAAAATGTTTCCCAAACTATTTTATAAGGCCAAGAATACCCAGACAGTGAAACCAGAATAAGGCATCACAACAGAGTCATGGGCCAGTAGCCTTCATGAACATACAAGTAAAAATACTAAGCAAGTTATTAGCAAAACATATCCAGATATATTTCAAGAAGATAATATCGCATGACCAAGGAGTACGTTCACTACTGGAAACATCAATGTACTTCATCATATTAAGAGAATAAAATATAAAAATTGTATGATCCTCTCAAAACAGAGGAAGAAAAGGTATCTGACAAAATTTAACACCCAATCATGAAAGAAAACTCTCAGGAAACTAGAAACTTAAGATTAAGTCCTCAACTCATAAAAAGCTATCTACAAAAAACCTAACACAAATATACTTCATGGTGAAATAACTATACCCTTCCCCCCCTTTTTTTTTTCTTCAGACGGAGTTTTGCCTCGCTCTGTTGCCAGGCTGAAGTGCGGTGGCATAATCTCGGCTCACTGCAACCTCTGCCTCCCGGGTTCAAGCGATTCTACTGCCTCAGCTTCCTGAGTAGCTGGGATTACAGGCGCCCACCACCACGCCTGGCTAATGTTTTGTATTTTTAGTAGAGATGGGGTTTCACCGTGTTTGCCACGCTGGTCTCGAACTCGTGACCTCGTGATCCGGGGTCCTCGACCTCCCAAAGTGCTGGGATTACAGGCATGAGCCACCGTGCCCAGCATAAAAAAATTAAAAAAAAATAAATGAATCAGAATTTACATATTAAGTATCTGAGAATCATTTCAAAATAATCACCTTGCGAAGCTTCAGTTTGGGCAAGTTTTCTTAAGGAACAGTTTCCACACCTTTTTACCAGACTTTTAAAGATCTTCAATATGGGCAAATATTCATCTTTTGAAGATAATTTCTTTTTTGGAAACAGCTTGGTCATTTAGAATCAACTGTAGTAAGACATAGTGATTTAGAGCAGTGTATCATAGTACTTGAGATGGCTTTGAAGTATAATAGTACTAAGCTAGAGTCAGAGCTCTATCACCCTAATTTCTACCAAATTATTTAAATTGTTTGAGCTCTACCTCCCTCATCTGAAAAATAAGAAAAAATCATCTATCTCATGCCACTGTGAAGATTAAATGGAATATTGTATATATAGGCACTAGTTGTATATATATAACAACCTCTGTATATGAGAGGGTGTGTGTAGGTTCTATACAAGTACTATGCCATTTGATATAGGGAACTTGAGCATCTGAGGACTTTGGTGTCCTCAGGGGAGGTCCAGGAGGAACCAATCCCCTCAGATACCAAGGGACAACTGTACGTGGTAAACAATACATACTTGTTTTCTTCTTTGCTCCACTCAGTTAATCATTATTTCAAAGTGTGAACCACATATGCCATCACTGAGTAACTTTGAGGAAGCAAGTGATTTTTCTTTTTTCTTTTTTTGAGACAGAGTCTCACTCTGTTGCCCAGGCTGGAGTGCAGTGGCATGATCTCGGCTCACCACAATCTCCACCTCCCGGGTTCAAGTGATTCTCCTGCCTCAGCCTCTGAAGTAGCTGGGACTATAGGTGTGTGTACCATCATGCCCAACTAATTTTTGTATTTTTAGTAGAGACAGCGTTTCACTATGTTGGCCAGGCTGGTATCAAACTCCTGACCTTGTGATCCGCCTGCCTCGGCCTCCCAAAGTGTTGGGATTACAGATGAGAGCCACCGCATCTGGCCTGATTTTTCAATTTATACAAATTTCAACCATCAATTTTTTGCTCTCAATTATATGACACATTATTTTAATAGAAATAGAAATCAACAGGCAACTTACCTGTGGAAACCATCTTTCAAAACTTCTTGCCTCAAAATAATTTCAGAACACATGGCCCTTATGCCTATAAGAACCAAACGATTTTTTTTTAAAAACAAAAGCACTGAATAAAATAATATTTAAATAATTATAAAAGAGTTATTTTAGTAGGCTTTACTTGCCTAGAAAATCTAACCAACCTAAAAACAAAACCTTTTAAAATTTAAGCAATTTGAAATATATATATAAATCTACTTCCAATATAGCACTGTGGTTAAGAACAGTGACTCTGGAGTTAGATTGCCTGATTTCAAATCCCAGTCTGTAACTTAACAGCTGTGTTAACTTTGGGCAAGATAGTTTATCTCTCTACTAGCTGTCGTAAGAATTTAATGTAAGTAGAAGCACTTAGAACAGTAGTAAGAATACATATTAAGTGTTCTATGTAAGTGTTTTTTATTAATATTACTTTATTCAGGTGATCCCAAGATACCAAAAAGGAACAGGATGGCTAAAGAGCCAGGAAATCTCCATTTTAATCCTTGTTCACTGAAACTGTGTATCAGATAGATACATACTGGCAACTTCTATATTCTAACATCCATGCCTACAAAACCAGGAAAATGGTACATTTATGCCTTGTGGAGATGCTGGAAGGTTTAAAAAAAAAACAAAAAGCAAAGCTGGAGGCACGTAAAGGTTCAACGGGTTCCACTGTAAACTTAGAATAAGCACAAATCTCAGTATACTGACTTCATCCAGATTCCAGACACTCAAGCTGTTACTCTGAGCCAGGTGTGCCAGCTCGCACTTGAGGTGGGAGGATTGCTTGAACCCAGGGGATGGGGGCTTCAGTGAGCTATGATTATACCACTGCACTCAAGCCTGGGTGACAGAGAGAGACCTTGTCTCTAAACACAAAAAAAGAAAACTATTACTCAATGTAAGCATCTTAAAACTGAAAATTCAGTTACTATTGACCAGCAACTCTGCCAGGCATTTGCTATGGAACTTTGTCCCATTTCAAAAGCTGTAAATCTGTGGGAAGAACATTTAAAAAACACACACAAGCCTGGACAACATAGCAAGACTCCATCTCCATTAAGAAAAATACAAAAATTAGCTACTTAGGAGGCTGAGGTGGGAGCATGGCTTGAGGCCAGGAGGCAGAGGGAGGCTGCAGTGAGCAGAGACTGCACCACTGCACTCCAGCCTGGGTGACAAAGCCAGACCTTGTCTCAAAACAAACAAACAAACCCCAAACACATACAGAAAACTATATATTATTTACATAATCCTGTTATTATCATTGAATATTGCTGAATCCATTAGATGTATTTCTGAAAAGATGCATTAAGAAAAATGATGTGAAGGTGAAACTATTTGAAGGAATGAAAAAAGAATAGAAAAAAATAACTGGTTAAATAATATCTAACATGCTAGATCCTCTACTTGGTGCTTTCATATGTGTTTTAACTTTCACGATCTATAGCAAAATAAGCAAAATCACTGCCATTTGTTTGCAGGAGGAAACTTGAACTTCTAAAGCATTAGTAAATGGCCCTGGGTCATACAACTAACTACGTGACCGATTAGAAGAAAGGTTTGCCTGATTTTTAAAGCCTAAGATACTTCCACTTTCAACACTAAAATTGAATGAAATTTTAGTGTTACAGCTCTTCGAGAATTTGTCTAGTTACATTTCACTGAAAAATCTCCAGCCCTCAAAAAAGAAATTGTATTTGCTTTGGAGAAGCATATGATCTTTTCCTGAATAAACAAATCCCCAAATTCCATATGTATCTTGTACCAATCCAGATTTTTATTTGTTCTTTTTTTATTTTTATTTATTTATTTATTTATTTTTTGAGACGGAGTCTCACTCTGTTGCCAGGCTGCACTGCAGTTGCACGATCTTGGCTCACTGCAACCTCTGCCTCCCAGGTTCAAGCAATTCTCCTGCCTCAGCCTCCAGAGTAGCTGGGACTACAGGCACGCGCCACTACGCCCGGCTAATTCTTGTATTTTTAGTAGAGATGGAGTTTCACCACGTTGGCCAGGCTGGTCTCGATCTCCTGACCTGGTGATCTGCCCACCCTGGCCTTCCAAAATGCTGGGATTACAGGCATGGGCCACAGCGCCCAGCCGAGCAAGGCTCTGCCTCTTAAAAAAAAGAACAAATAGCCTGGGTGCAGTGACTCATGCCTGTAATCCCAGCACTTTGGGAGGGGGAGGCAGGCAGATCACAAGGTCAACAGTTTAAGACCAACCTGGCCAACATGGTGAAACCCCGTCTTTACTAAAATACAAAAAATTAGCCGGGCGTCGTGGTGTGCACCTGTAGTTCCCGCTACTTGGGAGGCTGAGGCAGGAGAATCGCTTGAACCTGGGAGGTGAAGGTTGCAATAAGCCGAGATTGCGCCACTGCACTAGCCTGGCAAGAGAGCAAGACTCCGTCTCAAAAAAAAAAAAAAAAAAAGAGACAGGGCCTTACTCTGTCACACAAGCTGGAATGCAGTGGCATGATCACAGCTCACTGCAGCCTTGAACTTCTGAGCTCAAGCAATCCTCCCACATCGGCCTCCCAAGTAGCTAGGATTATAGGCCCACGCCACCACACCTGGCTACTTTTAAATTTTTTTGCAGAGACAGGGTCTTGCTATGTTTTCCAGGCTGGTCTTGAACTCTTGGCCTCAAGCAATCCTTCCACCTCAGCCTCCCAATGTGTTAGAATTTCAGGTGTGAGCCACTGTGCCCAG
The DNA here is from genome assembly GCF_000001405.40 of Homo sapiens. Taxonomy (NCBI): domain Eukaryota; kingdom Metazoa; phylum Chordata; class Mammalia; order Primates; family Hominidae; genus Homo; species Homo sapiens. The sequence goes on along the minus strand of NC_000003.12, from coordinate 196,714,183 downwards.
CACAAATCCAGATCTTTCTTCATCCTGTTTAATTTTAATGGGGGTAGGGTGGGAAGTGAGGACTGCTATCCAACTATAAATTAAATTAGAAGAAAAATTATGAACAGGCTTAAATTCTACTGGTATGTACACCAGACAGCAGTTGATCATTGGGACCGGAGAAAGGCTAATTTACAAATAGTACAGCAAATACTAGAATGTCATGATTTTAAAGGCAAAAGTACCATTTTTAAAACGAATTTGTTGAATGTGAATTTACCTTCAACATTTTTCCTCTTAACTATTACTTTGGTAGTGGTGAACTGGCTCTGGAAATTGACTTCTTTTTCCTTTTTTTTTTTTTTTTTGAGACAGAGTCTCCCTCTGTCACCCAGGCTGGAGTGCAATGGCGCGATCTCGGCTCACTGCAACCTCCGCCTCCCTAGTTCAAGCGATTCTCCTGCCTTAGCCCCCTGAGTAGCTGGGACTACAGGGGCACGCCATCACGCCCCGCTAATTTTGACCCCTTTTCAATTATAAAATGCTAACGTTGGAAGCCTCTACAGATTACCAAATCCAACTGTTTAAAAATTCTTCTGGCCGAGCATGGTAGTTCACACCTGTAATCCTGGCACTTTGGGAGGCTGAGGAGGGTGGACCACCTGAGGTCAGGAGTTCAAGACCAGCTTGACCAATACGGCGAAACCCCGTCTCTACTAAAAATACAAAAAATTAGCTGGGCATGGTGGCGGGCACCTGTAATAATCCCAGCTACTTGGGAGGCTGAAGCAGAAGAATTGCTTGAACTTGGGAAAGGCGGAGGTTGCAGTGAGCCGAGATCGCGCCATTGCACTCCAGCCTGGCAACAGAGTGAGACTCCATCTCAAAAAAAAAATCTTCTTGGCCTCATAATCCTTTGTTTAGATAAACTTGAAAACCCAATATGTAAACACACAAGCAGAACTGCACTGATTGACAGATACTAAACGGATCTAAATGATACCAAGGATGACAGAAACATCCTCATTTTACAGATGGAGAAACTTGTAGGGTTTGTGCTTTCCTCCCATCAAACCTTACCCTTTATTGTAATTATTCCCGCACTTGCCCGTCTCAGTAGTACAAGCAGTTTGCCAACTACTACTTGCACGAACAACTAGCAGTTTGCCACGGAGTCCTACATTCAGTTTGGGGATTCTCAGGCCTCACAGGGCGCTAAGGCCTTGCCTGGCCCCTTGGTGATCAGAAGCTTCGTGCAGCTCAAGAGCATCCCAAGACGCTTGACGGCTGACTTTCCTTCTCAGAACTTTAGTAACAGGGCGGCCAGTCCAGCCTGGGAACCGCAGGGCCCGAGCCCGACTCTCCCGGAGACCCGGGATCCGCCGCAGAGCAAAGCGCACGGGAGGGAAGGAGGGCACACGGCTCTAGTGTCTGACCTCCTCCGGCTCGCCCTACTGATCTAGGTCCCGCGCCGGGTCCCCACATCCCCGCAACCCGCCGAGAGGCCCGGGAGCCGGGACCGCTCCCACGCTCTGGCCCCCCAAGCCCCGCCCCCCTTACCGGCGTCAGAGCGCGCGGCGGTGAAGGCCGCGGCGGGCCCGCGCGTGAGCCCGGTCGCCGCCCCGAGGAGCAGCCAGGCGGCCGCCCGAACCGCCGCCACCCGAGCCGCCAGGACGCCGGAAGCCGGACGCCCGAGAGGGGCGCGCGGGGCCAGGTGCGGACGCAGGAAGGGGCCTGGCCGCCCGCAGCTCCTACCGCGCGCTGCCCCAGATTTATCGGCTGGGACCGAGTGCTGGGTGCGCGCGCCTAGCGCCCGCGGTTCCCAGCTGCCTGCAGCCCCGGCCCCCAAGGGTTCCCGCGCGGCGTGGGGCGGTCGTCCCCGCCCAGCTGTTCCTTGCTCCGCCCACCCGGGGGCGGGCGAGGAGCTGCGCACGCGCGGGGACGCGCGCCCGGCCTGTCGCTGTGGAAACCGCTAGGCCAGCGCTCGCCGGGACCTGGAATCCCTGTACGCCGAGGTGGGAGCCGGTGGACCGGTCCCCCAGCCGGCCCCCACCTCCGCTTCCCGGTGTTTGAGGGTTCGGGCCTCCCGCCGGGGAGTTCACCCCTCGGGCTCGTCAGTAGGGCTGTGGCTGTCGCCTCTTCCTGCAGCGCCAGGCTCCGCCCGGTCTCACAGTCGGCTTAGGGGCTTTGCGTGCACTGCGGTTGGGTGGAAAAACCCACTCCTGGTTGTTTAGACGTTGGCCTGCAGACGATGTCATTTCTGTATTCCTCTAAGGGTAAGAAAGCCAGCCTTGCACTAGTGGAGACGTGAGTAGGGAGAGAATCGTCTACTCTTTGGGGACATTCGTACCCTTAGGTGCTGTGGGGCTTCCTAACAAGATTGTGGGCAGTTACTGATCTCTGGGGAGAGGAGTATTCGTGTCCAGGAAGAATAATTGGATAAACGTGCCGTCCTTCTTCCTAAACAGAGTGGAATCTGTAAGCAGGCCAAGAGAGCATCCAGGCGGCTTGGAGTGGAATAGAGGGCTCTAGAGCGGGTGTCTCAAAGAGGAAACAGAGTGTATGTCAAAACATACTATCCAAAACTGAAAATAGCCGGGCAGGTGGCTCACGCCTATAGCCCCAGCACTTTGGGCGAATCACCTGAGGTCAGGAGTTCGAGACCAGCCTGGCCAAGATGGCGAAACCCCGTCTCTACTGAAAATACAAAGATTAGCTGGGCATGGTGGTAGGCACCTGTAATTCCAGCTACTCGGGAGGCTGAGGCACGAGAATCGCTTGAACCCAGGAGGCGGAGGTTGCAGCGAGGGGAGATCACGCCACTGCACTGCAGCCTAGGCGACAGAGGGAGACTCTGTTTCAAAAGAAAAAAAAAAACTGAAAATGGTAGTATAAGCATGTTTCTTAAGAAATGGAGAGAGAAATTTTGGAAGATATGCCTTTTAAAATTCAGTCTGGCTCCCTATGAAGAGGAGTAGGGCCAAGGACGATAGTTTGTTGTTATAAGCCTCATAGAATTATTTTATATTCCAAATACAAACATTACTTTAGCAAAAATTAAAGTTAAATTTTAAAAAGAGTCTAGTAAAAAAAAAACTACATTATTTGAGTACCAACTGCATACATCTTTGACGAGTACAGCCATTGCTTCAGTGTGTGGAGTTTATATGTGCCCCGTAGGTTGTAGTTTACTAACATCAAATTTTAGTTAGGTGAATTGGGAATAGTATTCGTTAAAAAAAAAAAAAAAGCAAGAAAAGAGAAGGAAAAGAAGGAGAAATGGTGTGAGCTCATTGCATCAGATTAGAGGTAGAGCACAGTAATTTTTTAAAGTAGTTTTTTTTTTTTTTTTTTTTTTTTTTAAGAATAGGCGTATCATGCTTTGGAGAGGCTGTTGTGCAGTGGCACCATCTCAACTCACTGCAGCCCCAAACTCCTGGGTTCAGGCGATTCTCCCACCTTGGCCTTTGGTGTGGCTGGGACTACAGGTGCATGCTGCCATGCCTGGCCAATTTTTAAATTTTTTGTAGAGACATGCATGGTCTCGCTGTGTTGCCCAGGCTGGTCTCAAACTCCTGGCCTCAAGGTATCTCCTCTCCTTGGCCTCCCAAAGTGTTGGGATTACAGGCCTGAGCCACCACACCTGCCTCCATCTTTTTGAGATGGAGTCTTGCTCTTGTCACCCATGCTGGAGTGCAGTGGTACCATCTCAGCTCACTGCAACCTCCGCCTCCCAGGTTCAAGTGATTCTCCTGCCTTGGCCTCTCGAGTAGCTGGGATTACAGGCACCTGCCACTATGTCCAGCTAATTTTTGTATTTTTAGTACAGACGTGGTTTTCACCATGTTGGCCAGGCTGGTCTCGAACTCCTGACCTCAAATGATCTGCCCACCTTGACCTCCCAAAGTGCTGGCTGGGGTGAGCCACTGTGCCTGGGCTTATATGTGATTAATTTTCTAAGAGTAAAAATTCTCATGCCCAACAATAAGTGGTGAATAATATGATTATAGTACATCCATAAAATAAAACATTTAGCAGTCATATAAAATGTTACATTGTAGTAAAACATTTGATGACAAAATAATAATATATGTTGTTAAATTTGAACGTCAGGAAATAGCTTGTATGATAAGGTATGTATGAAACATACTATAAACTATATGCCTAGAAAAAAGACTGGACACAATCAAGGGTGATTATTTTCTATAGGTTTCCCCTCTCCTTTGCCCCCAGTATTCTACAATGACGTGTATAATCACTGCTAAGTATTTAATAAAAAGTATGTTCCTAATAGTGATTCTCCAGCAGAACTGAGTTCACGAAGATATCATCACCCTATGCCACTTTACCTCAATGTTTCTTGACATTTACAAATCTTTCTGGGAATGTCACAGTCACATCAAAAGCAGTGCTTAGGGTTAAGTGTATTCTTTGGGCACTGAGGGTGGGGAAAGGAAGAGAGAATAGTAAGTATTCATCTACAAATAGCTGTTTCTTGTAGCTAGAAAATTATCATATAGTGAGACACACAGGCCAAAATAAAAGCCCTGCAGACATTACTGACTATTGTATATGAAGAAGCTGAGATATGTGATGTATATGATGTAGCTGCAGACGTTACTGACGTGTATATGAAGAAGCTGATTCTGCAGCAGGTCTGCTTTTTGATCAGGCTTCTAGACTGTAAATGCTTTCAAAAATGTACAGGGACCATCATGTTAATTCATAGCATTAAACAATGTATGGAATGCCCACTACGTTCCAGGTATTATGCTGAGATATTGTGGTGGAAAATGAATATGCCCCCCACCCTCATGGAGCATATTGACTAGAAGGGAAGATAGATGATTAAATAAATAATGACAAAAAACTCTAGTAAAATAATTGGGAAAGTACAAAGGAGACAGTTCTGGATTGGTGAACCTCTCAGGACAAAATGATTAAGGTTAAAAAACTTACCTTATCATAGTACCTTGATACCGAGGATGCTCGATATGCCCTTTCTTAATTGATAAATAGTAAAGACCCTATAGGTCAGCTATTGGGCTGACTTAGGGGTTCATATTCGATCTTCAGTAAGAGTGCAGTACACTAAGAGGTTCAAACTGGATTGCATCCCCAGATTCACATATGAACAAGTCTATATCCTTGAAAAAACCAGATCTTAGGGATCCAACAGGTTGAAACTAACCCAGGGCCAAGCTGAACTTTCAGGGCAGTTCTCAAAATAACTGAGCTTTGTGGTCGTTCCCGCGCACATACCCCACAATTGGAATGATACAGAGAGGATCAGCATGGCCCCTGCGCAAGGATGACACACAAATTCATGAAGCAGTCCGTATTTTAATTTTAAAAAAAATGAGTTTCACAGGCTGAGCGTGTGTGGCCAGAGCCGGACTAGAACCAGATCTTCTGGGGCAAAGGGGCGAGGGGAATGAATGACATTTATCCAACACCTAGTTGTTTTTTCCCTTTAGCAGGAAGTCATTATGCAACTTACACATATTCATCAGATTTCCTCTGACTTACCCGGACATGTACATGGGAATGATGTGCACTGCCAAGAAATGTGGGATTAGGTTTCAGCCTCCAGCTATTATCTTAATCTATGAGAGTGAAATCAAGGGGAAAATTCGCCAGCGCATTATGCCAGTTCGAAACTTTTCAAAGTTTTCAGGTACCTCATGTCTTATCTTGCCTCCTGTCTTAAATATTCTCTAAATACAGGTTCACATCATGACTCTGTCAGGGACTGGATGTGTGACACTGGATGAATTACTTACTCTCAGTGAGCTTCAGTTTCCTAATCTATAAAAGGGAATTGTAGTGTTTTTTTCCAATCTGATAATTAATAATCCTTTTGGGATTGCTGCCTAGGTTAAATGATATAGCATTATTCAATAATATTAATTCCCTTCTCTCATTCCAAATGTTTTTTATTTGTAGTCTTAATATTTTATTAATACCACTACTGCTATCTAAAAGCTATAATATCACTTTTCTTCTCAGACATATTCTCCAGTTGAAAGTGTTTAATATCTCTACAAAGTGATTTTTAAGTTAAAGAAGTCAAAACTGTATCTGTCCTTCTCCCACCACACTGAAAGCTCAATATAAAGGAATGGTTCTACAAAGTAATTCATTCCAATCAAGCCATTTAGCTACTTGACTATAATGGAGATAATATTTTCAGGGTTCAGAGTTTTTGTTCTGTTTTGGCTGTTGCAGTAGTTTATGGCGTATATGATGTACGTGGTACGTATGTGGTATATAGTTTTCTTCTCTCTCCCAGATTGCACCAGAGCTGCTGAACAATTAAAGAATAATCCGCGACACAAGAGTTACCTAGAACAAGTATCCCTGAGGCAGCTAGAGAAGCTATTCAGTTTTTTACGAGGTTACTTGTCGGGGCAGAGTCTGGCAGAAACAATGGAACAAATTCAACGGGAAACAACCATTGATCCTGAGGAAGACCTGAACAAACTAGATGACAAGGAGCTTGCCAAAAGAAAGAGCATCATGGATGAACTTTTTGAGAAAAATCAGAAGAAGAAGGATGATCCAAATTTTGTTTATGACATTGAGGTTGAATTTCCACAGGACGATCAACTGCAGTCCTGTGGCTGGGACACAGAGTCAGCTGATGAGTTCTGATACCAAACACTCAAAACATGCATTGGGCTAGCAGAATATCCATGTTTATTACCAGACTGGTTCTGGAAGAAGCTGTAAAGAATACTAAATATGTTGGGTTATAGGGGATTGACCATGTTACTTTTCAAAACCAGGACATTTAAAGCATCTACTATGTAGGTGCATGAGGAGTATGGGAAAAACAGAATAAAGGAATCTGCCTTTAAGGAGCTTACAATCATGCCGGGTGCGGTGGCTCACGCCTGTAATCCCAGCACTTTGGGAGGCTGAGGCGGGTGGATCACCTAAGGTCAGGAGTTCGAGACCAGCCTAGCCAACATGGTGAAACCTCGCCTCTACTAAAAATACAAAAATTAGCCAGGCGTGGTGGCGGGTGCCTGTAATCCCGGCTACTCAGGAGGCTGAGGCAGGAGATTCGCTTGAACCTGGGAGGCTGAGGTTGCAGTGAGCCGAGATCGCGCCATTGTACTCCAGCCTGGGCGATGAGCAAAACTCCATCTCAAAAAAAAAAAAAAAAAAAAGCTTACAATCTGACTGGAAGATGTCAAAACCTGTGAAAAGCTAATTAGCAGTATTAAGCAACACAAACATTAGTGCCAAATGCATGATAAAGGCTAAAGAAGGCCAGAGCATATATTACTGTAGAGTAGAATAGTAAGGGAAGACTTTGTCCTTTAGTAAAGAGATAGGAGGTGGCCTGGCCCTTGAAATAGTAGTGTTTAGGTAGATGCTTGTGTAGGATTCCTGATAAGAGCAACTGAAAAGAAGGAGAGGGGAAGTAGTAAAGGGACAAGAAACAATTTTTTTTTTGAGGAACCATAAGCAAATTATAGTTTGACAAGACAAGATTGGGGGACATATATGGTTACCAGGGAATTACCTCTTATGTGTTATATCTTTATATTATTTATCTCTGGAAAAGAGTACCCTGCAAAATTCCCTACAGCTGCAAGCAGATGTCACTTGATGGACAGAGGGGGAATTCTGCCCCTCCGGTATCGGGAAATACATACTAAAGACATTGCGAAACGCTGAACCTCTTCCCATAAATAAAAGGTTTGTTTGTAAAATGGGAAATCCACCCATAATAAATGAACAATAGGCACTGCCAGTTTAGGCCTGTTCATGAATGGATCTGCAAGACAGCATCTTCGTTTAACAACATTATCTGTGATTTGATACATTTATCCTTATTACAATATTGTTTAGTTGGTAGAAATTCTATGTTTTCTACAAGGAAATTGATGTTTATTAAATAAAACTGAAAATAATTACTCAGTGTTTCTACCTGTTCACTTCCACTCTCCTTACCATTAAGCACTTCATTAAAAGGGAGCTCATTCTTGTAGTGATATCACCAGAGTTTTGAAATAGTCAGATCTCATACATACAGTAGCCAAAGGGAGCCAAATAATTTTCTGAATTAGAGATCTTTCCATATCTACATAGTATTCCTTTATTCTTTATTGTATAGATATAGGTAGTTTATTTTTTATTTGAGACAGGGTCTCACTCTGTCACCCAGGCTGGAGTGCAGTGGCATGATCACAGCTCACCAAAGCCTCAACCTCCTGGGCTCAAGTGAGCCTCCCCTCTCAGCCTCCCAAGTAGCTGTGAGTACAGGTGCCCACCACCACACCTGGCTAATTTTTGTATTTTTTGTAGAGACAGGGTTTCACCATGTTGCCTAGGCTTGTCTGGAACTCCTGGGCTCAAGTGATCCACCCACCTCAGCCTACCAAAGTGCTAGGATTACAGATGTGAGCCACTGTGCCTGGCTATAGGTAACTTATTTTAAAATTTGTCCTTGGGTTGCTGGGCGCAGTGGCTCATGCCTGTAATCCCAGCACTTTGAGAGGCTGAGGCGGGCAGATCACGTGAGGTTGGGAGTTCAAGACCAGCCTGACCAACATGAAGAAACCCCGTCTCTACTAAAAATACAAAATTAGCCGGGTGTGGTGGTGCATGCCTGTAATCCCAGCTACTCCGGAGGCTGAGGCAGGAGAATCGCTTGAACCCGGGAGGTGGAGGTTGTGGTGAGCCGAGGTCATGCCATTATTGCACTCCAGCCTGGGCAACAAGAGTGAAACTCTGTCTCAAAAAAAAAAAAAAAAATTTATCCTTGGGTTGTTTTCTCCTTTCATGACTACAAACAGTGCTACAACAAATAACCTTGTACATTCTCTGTTTTGCACATATGCAAGGATATCTATTAGATAAATGCCTAAAGGGGAATTACTAAGTATGTGCATTCTAAGTTTTAATAGATACTAAGTTGTCACCAATAGACGTTCATTCATTCATTATTTGTAGTTAATAAGCACTTACTACATTCTAAGCCTGTACTGTTCTGGAGTTTGGGGTTACAGCAGTATATACAGCAAAGTCCTGGGTTTACAGTTGGAGAGCAGAGACATAAATGCATAGAATAGTGTCATCAGATGGTAAGTGCTCAAAATGGGATGAAAAGGAGAATGATAGAGGGGATGGGAGCCACTGTTTTAGATCACATGATGAGCAAAGGCCTGAAGGAGGCAAGGAAAAATTGGTATGCATTTCAGGATTAGCGGGGAAAGGTAAGTGTATTAGCCCTGGGGCTGGAGTGTGCCTTGCATGTTTGAGGAGGAGCAGGAGGCCAATGTGGCTAATACAAATTGTGCAAGAGAAGAAATGGTAGGAGATGAGGTTGGAGTGCATTTTACCAATGCGTAGTACTTACCACGAAGGTTGTACCAACTTAAACTATCAGCAATACATTTGAGTACCCATTTCCCCCATATACTCATCAATGGAGAATGTTATCAAACTTTTTGAGTTTTGCCAATATTCTAATATAAAAATGGTATCTTATAGTTTTGATTTGCATTTCTCTTATTTTGAGGGGGTCTGAGTATCATATATTTAAGAACCATTTTTTTTTTTTTTTTAGACTGAGTCTCGCTCTGTCGCCAGGCCAGAGTGCAGTGGTGCGATCTCAGCTCACTGCAACCTCACTGCAACCTCTCAGCTCACTGCAGCCCTCCTGGGTTCAAGCAATTCTCCCACCTCAGCCTCCTGAGTAGCTGGGACTACAGGCATGCACCACCATGCCAGGCTAATTTTTGTATTTTTAGTAGAGACAGGGCTTCACCATGTTGGCCAGGATGGTCTTGATTTCTTGACCTCATGATCCGCCCACCTCGGCCTCCCAAAGTGCTAGGATTACAGGCGTGAGCCACCGCACACGGCCAAGACCCATTTTTTATGAAATAACTTAAGTCCTTTGTTCATTTTTTTATTGGGTTGCTGGTCTTTTTCTTACAGATTTATAAAAGTTGTTTATCAAGGAAATTAGTCCTTAGTCTATGAAATAAGTTGCAAATATTTCCACCTTGTCATTTAAAAAAATTTGATATTTTTTCCTGGTAGAATTGTTTAATGTGGTAAAATTTATGAATATTTTTCTCTACACATCTGCACCTTTTGTCATACGTAGAAAGGCATTCCCCACAAGATTTTTCTTTTCTTTTTTTTTTTTTTTTGAGATGGAGACTCACTCTGTTGCCCGGGCTGGAGTGTAGTGATGTGATCTTGGCTCACTGCAACCTCTGCCTCCCAGATTCAAGCGATTCTCCTGCCTCAGCCTCTCCAGTAGCTGGGACTGCAGGCGCCCGCCACCACGCCTGGCTAATTTTTGTATTTTTAGTAGAGATGAGGTTTCGCCATGTTGGCCAGGCTGGTCTCAAACTCCTGACCTCAGGTGATCCACCCGCCTTGGCCTCCCAAGGTGCTGGGATTACGGGCATGAGCCACTGCACCCGGCCATGAAATATTTTTTTTTAAAGCAGCTCTATAGAGACAGAAAGCAGATGAGGGCTGCCTGGGGCTGCGGATGGGAATTGATTATGGCTGCCTGGGGCTGGGGATGAGAATTGATTATGGCTGCCTGGGGCTGGGGATGGGAATTGATTATGGCTGCCTGGGGCGGGGGATGGGAATTGATTATGGCTGCCTGGGGCTGCGGATGGGAATTGATTATGGCTGCCTGGGGCTGGGGATGGGAATTGATTATGGCTGCCTGGGGCTGCGGATGGGAATTGATTATGGCTGCCTGGGGCTGGGGATGGGAATTGATTATGGCTGCCTGGGGCTGGGGATGGGAATTGATTATGGCTGCCTGGGGCTGAGGATGGGAATTGATTATGGCTGCCTGGGTCTGGGGATGGGAATTGATTATGGCTGCCTGGGGCTGGGGATGGGAGATGATTTTTTGGAGGTTGATGCAAACACTTTAAAACTGGATTGTGTCTTGTTTTCACAATTCTATAAATTCACTGAATTGATTTGTGCACTTAAAAACAGGTAAATGTTATGGTATATACTGAGCTATATAAATTATGTCTCGATAAAGCTGTTAAAAAATAGAAAACAAATGTCTGCAGACCATTGTTTGAAGACTGAGCAAGGGGGACCAAAAATACATGTAAAAATTCCTTGCGCCCACACAAAGGTGGAGGTTGAAAAAGGCTGGAGAAGGGACAGAATAAATGCATTTATTCAGTAAACACTTTTGAGTATTTACTCTGTGGAAACTCCTCAGGATGTCTGGAAACAGACAGCTTTCAAGGAGAAGGAAGAACAAGACAAAAGACTGATGTAGTTATGGTCAGGTCAGTTTATGATGCCGACAGCAGGTTGAGGTTAACGATTTCTGTGTTCCCCTAAATGGCGCAAGCAGAGCCATGGGATTAGAGCGAGATGGGAAGAAGCATAGGAGAGAGGGAGTAGTTAGGGTGAAAAGAGCAGGTGAGCAGAGGACCTTTTTTCAGATGCAAGGCTAAGGTTGGATATGTTCAACATAGATGGAGAAAGTATATTCTGGGGATGTCAAACAAAAATGGATAATCCAGGAGTTACTTTTTTTTTTTTTTTTTTTTTTGAGATGGAATCTAACTTTGTCGCCCAGGCTGGAGTACAGTGGTGAGATCTTGGCTCACTGCAACCTCCACCTCCCAGGTTCAGTGATTCTCCTGCCTCAGCCTCCCGAGTAGCTGGGATTACAGGCACCCGCCACCATGCCTGGCTAATTTTTGTATTTTTAGTAGAGATGTGGTTTCACCATGTTGGTCAGGCTGGTCTTGAACTCCTGACCTCAAGTGATTCGCCCGCCTCGGCTTCCCAAAGTGCTGGGATTCCAGGCGTGAGCCACCGCACCCAGCTAATTTTTTATTTTTAGTAGAGACGTGGTTTCATGTTCGTCAGGATGGTCTCAAACTCCTGACCTTGTGATCCGCCCACCTCGGCCTCCCAAAGTGCTGGGATTCCAGGCGTGAGCCATTGCACCCGGCCAGGAGTTAGAAATTAAAAAGAATCTCCCCCATCCTCACCATCTCCCCTGAAAAAACAACCGACAAACTAACAAAAGAACTTCCCATGGTCAAATTTACAAGAAGAGACCGTTAATGGTTAAATTAGCGACCTTCAAGCTGAAAAGTGTTTATAAAGTCTTCCTCTCAATGGTCCACCATTTCACACTATAGCAGATACTGCTGATTACCTACTCAACATCCTTAATCTCCTTCTTTATTGCCTGCAGAAGTCCAATTTTGTTGTTCAAGTATAAGCCTCCCACACAAGTCTCAGATCCGGAGGCAAATCCTGACTGATCTAAATAAATCTCTGGGCACGGTGTGCTCATGCCTGTAATCCCAGCACTTTGAGAAGCCGAGGTGAGAGGATTGCTTGAGGCCTGGAGTTCAAGACCAGCCTGGGCAATATAGTGAGAGTGCTCCCTGCCCATCTCTACAGAAATTTTAAAAAATTAGCACACCTGTAGTTCCAACTACTTGGGAGGCTGGGGCAGGAGGATTGCTTGAGCCAGGAGTTCAAGGCCGCAGTGAGCTATGATTATTCCACTGCACTCCAGGCTGGGTGAGAGACAGAATGACGCTGTCTCTAAAAGAAATAAAGAATAGGCCAGGTGCAGTGGCTCATGCCTATAATCCCAGCACTTTGGGAGGCTGAGGTGGGCAGATCACCTGAGGTTGGGAGTTTGAGACCAGCCTGACCAACATGGAGAAACCCCGTCTCTACTAAAAATACAAAATTAGCCAGGCATGGTGGCACATGCCTGTAATCCCAGCTACTTGGGAGGCTGAGACAGGAGAATCGTTTGAACCTGGAAGGCAGAGGTTGCAGTGAGCCGAGATCGTGCCATTGCATTCCAGCCTGGGCAACAAGAGTGAAACTCTCTCTCAAAAAAAAAAAAAGAAAAGAAAAAGAAATAAATAAAGAATAAAATTTAAAAATGAATAATAAAGAAATACCAGTGATCCCATTCCATTGTCTGTGATTTGTTTAGAGATGGGCACATTACCTGTTTCTGACCAATGAGATGTGAAAGCAGCATCTATGAGGACTTGTGAGAAAGATGTTCTAGATTTCTTCTCTGCCTTTCGGCTGAGATCAACTGTAGAAAGGTGTTCTATATTTGTGGGAGAAAAGAAAAGGCCTCTCTGCTTCTCTAGACGTGGTTGTGTCTGAATGTGATATTGGGAAATACTGTGGTCGTTTTGTTGCCAGCCTGAGGATGACAGTCATCATTAATGAGGGCAGAACAAAGAGAATCACAGAAAGAAGGATACAGAACCCTGATATGCTGCACATGGAGGCTGCCCTACCTCGTTATATGAATTAACAAATTTCCCATTTTATTGATTGATTGATTGATTGATTGAGACAGAGTCTTGCTCTGTCTCCCAGGCTGGAGTGCAGTGGTGCGATCTCGGTTCACTGCAACCTCCACCTCCCGGGTTCAAGCGATTCTCCTGCCTCAGCCTCCCGAGTAGCTGGGACTACAGGCGCCCGCCACCACGCCCAGAAATTTTTGTATTTTTAGTAGAGATGGGATTTCACCATGTTGGCCAGGCTGGTCTCAGACTCCTGACCTTGTGATCTGCCCGCCTTGGCCTCCCAAAGCGCTGGGATTATAGGCATGAGCCACTGCACCCGGCCAAATTTCACATTTCAAAAACCAATTTAGGCTGGACACAGTGGCTCACACCTGTAATCTCAGCACTGTGGGAGGCCAAAGCAGGCGGATCACCTGAGGTCAAGAGTTCGAGATCAGCTTGGCCAACATGGTGAAACCCCATCTCTACTAAAAATACAAAAATTGGCCGGGCATGGTGGAGCATGCCTGTAGTCCCAGCTACTCAGGAGGCTGAGGCAGGAGAATCGCTTGAACCTGGGAGGCAGAGGTCGCAGTGAGCCCAGATTGCACCATTGCAGTCCAGCCTGGAGACAGAGCAAGACTCTGTCCAAATAAATAAATAAATAAAGATAATAAAGATAAAAAACAATTTAAATTGGTATTTTTCTGTTTCTTGCAGCAAAAAATTCCATTAACAAGGGAATAAGCCTCTTCCATTAGCCTCTCCCATCTCTGGACACAATGTGGACCAACTGTCTCTCAAGAATAGGCCGGGAGACCTCCGGGAAGAGACTGATACAGTGGACAGAGCAGGCATCAGGGACTGAGGAAGGCCGGGAAGCTGGCAAGGGCAGCGCAAAGCAGTGGAGCTTGGAATCTAAGGCTGGATAGAGTCCTGTGGAGCCAGCAGACAGCGTGTAAAATGACAGGGGCTGACTCGTTGCACAGGGCAGTTCTAGCAACTTGTGGCAGGTTTGCTTGGGAGAAAATAGGTAAAGCAATTGGGTCATAGAAGGGGAATGCTGAGTAAAGAGATCTCAGAAGTTTAGAAGCCCTGGTGCTAATCAGATCCGGCCTCTTCACATTCCAAACCAAGACAGATAGAGAGGGAAGTACAGGAAATCAAGAAAGTTACAGAGTCCTGTGAAATCGAGGAGTCTAAAGGAGCAACAGCTCAGATGTTGAAAGATCCTGGGAACATTGATGAGTGGCAAAATGGAGAATAAAATCAGCCAGATCCTAAAGTCACTTGGGTGGGTACAAAATGCTTACTATGGTATTGGCAACTGCACCAACAATTTGAAGAAGAAAATGTAAAAAGATGGAATTATAGTAGATAATATATATATAGTAGATAATATATAGTAGCTAATTCCTATAGTAGATAGGAAAAAGGGAAGAAGAAGTACAGAGAAGAGAAGTGATAAAAGATTAGGAAGGTTAGGCTGGGCGCGGTGGCTCACGCCTGTAATCCTGGCACTTTGGGAGGCCGAGGCAAGGGGATCACCTGAAGTCAGGAGTTCGAGACCAGCCTGACCAACATGGAGAAACCCCATCTCTACTAAAAATACAAAAAATTAGCTGGGCGTGGTGGCAGGTGCCTGTAATCCCAGCTACTCGGGAAGCTGAGGCAGGAGACTCACTTGAACTTGGGAGGCGGAGGTTGCAGTGAGCCGAGATTGCGCCATTGCACTCCAGCCTGGGTAACAAGAGCGAAACTCCATCTCAAATAAAATAAAATAAAATTAAAAAGATTAGGAAGGTTAGATTTAAAAATATATATATTTTCCATTTGTAAAAAAATGGAAAAAAAATTTCCACACACACATATATGTATATACACATGGTCCACCAAAAGGAAAAAAATGGTGGTACATGCTCAAGACAGATAGGGCAGTCTTCAAATGGAATGAATGTTCCTTGGGCCTAACTTAAACGTGGACGCCTAATCCAGGAACCTTTTAAGGCTGCCTTCTTCTCCCCTCCGTGGCCTAACTGTAGCCTTGTGTAGTTGGGCCAGTAAGATTGCCATATGCCTCTCTACTGAGAAGCAAATTTTAGCCACAGCCAAGACATCTGTCATCACTACTATTAAATATTTCTTGATTCCATTCTCCCTCTTTCCTGATATTATATACTGGATACTAGATAATTTTCACATTTTTGGCCAGAGGCCTTCTCTGCCCTCAGGAAACTTAGAGGTATCTGTTATTTCTAATAATGAACAATAGAAATAGAATGGATACATTAAACCTCATTATATATAATCCTCAAAATTCATTTAACTCAAAATTTTTTTTTTTTTGAGACGGAGTTTCACTCTTGTTGCCCAGGCTAGAGTGCAATGGCATGACCTCAGCTCACTGCAACCTCTGCCTCCAGGGTTCAAGCAATTCTCCTGCCTCGGCCTCCCGAGTAGCTGGGATTACAGGCATGTGCCACCATGCCCGGCTAATTTTTTGTATTTTTAGTAGAGATGGGGTTTCTCCATGTTGGTCAGGCTGGTTTCGAACTATTGACCTCAGGTGATCCGCCCTCTTCGGCCTCCCAAAGTGCTGGGATTACAGGCATGAGCCACTGCACCCAGACTTTTTGTTTTGTTTTGTTTTGTTTTTCCTTTGAGACGGAGTCTTGCTCTGTCGCCAGGCTGGAGTGCAGTGGCGCAATCTCGGCTCACTGCAAGCTCCGCCTCCCAGGTTCAAGCGATTCTCGTGCTTCAACCTCCCAAGTAGCTGGGATTACAGGCGTGCACCACCATGCCCAGCTAATTTTTGTATTTTTTTTTAGTAAAGACGGGGTTTCACTATGTTGCCTAGGATGGTCTTGATCTCTTGACCGCGTGTCTGCCCTGCTCGGCCTCCCAAAGTGCTGGGATTACAGGCATGAGCCACTGCGCCTGGCCTAACTCAAAACTTTTCATCTCTTCCCTCACTTTTCCTTTTTTCTCCCCACCCTGAAATTAGAATTGTCAACTAGTAACAACAGAAGTTTTCAGAGATTTACATTTTCTGTTTCTCATATCCACTGTTTAATTTGAGAAGTACTAACACACTCCAAAACAGGGAAAGACTAATAGAAGAAGGTAAGACGTTGAAGAATACATAAACTTGTGTTAACTATCCAAAACTACCCAAAACTTACAATAAGGCAAAAATCAGGGCCACATGTCTTTTCAATGTCATACTGGGGCATTATTTAAAAGCTTCCACAAGGGTTAATTTTCTAGAACAATGTAACTGTTTGACTTTGCTATTTACTATTTGATTAGAGCCTAGACATGGTGCAGCTGCATATTAACTTGAAGATTTCTGCACACTAAAAAATATAACTGTGAAGGTTATTTTCATTTCCCTAGAGGACATTAACCGCTTTTTTTTTCCCTTGAGACAGCGACTCACTCCATTGCCCAGAATACAGTGCAGTGGCCGTATGCTGGCTCACTGCAGCCTCCACCTCCCAGACTCAAGTGATCCTCCCGCCTCAGCCTCCCAAGTAGCTGAGATTACAAGTGTGCACCACCATGACTGATAATTTTTGTATTTTTAGTAGAGATGGGGTTTCACTATGTTAGCCAGGCTGGTCTCGAACTCCTAACCTAAAGCGATCCACCCACCTTGGCCTCCCAAAGGATTACAATTGTGAGCCACTGCGTCCAGTCCATTAACCACTATTATATCTAAACTAACAGTCTTATTTTAACATCCCTTTGTGAATGCCTGTAAACATTCTTTGAACTAGCTTTACATCTTACTGGTCTTCTTCACCAATGGGTTAATAAGTCTTAAACATGGATTCATTTTCTATTTATATGAGAATTATGTTTTTTGAATTTTGAAAATTATACTTTGGCACTGATAGCCTGTATGATAAACAGATTAACATCTTTTTAGGGCCAGGTGCAGTGGCTCATGCCTGTAGTCCCAACACTTAGGGCCAGGTGCAGTGGCTCATGCCTATAGTCCCAACACTTTGGGAGTCTGAGGCAGGAGGATCAGGTGAGTCCAGGAGTTCAAGACCAGTGTGGGCAAAAAGTGAGACCTCATCTCTGAAAAAAATACAAAAAAATTAGCTGGATATGATGGTGTGCACCTGTGGTCTCAGCTACTAGGGAGGCTGAGGTGGGAGGATCGCTTGAGCCTGGGAAGTGGAGGCTGCAGGGAACTGAGATTGAGTCATTGCACTCCAGCCTGGGCGACTGAGCAAGACCTTGTCTCAAAAATAAATAAATAACAAATTTAAAAAAATCTATTAGCCTTTTATGGCATGCTTGGATGCTTTTGCGTTTTGTTTTGTTTCGTTTTTTGAGGCAGAGTCTTGCTCTGTCGCCCAGGCTGGAGTGCAGTGGCACAATCTCAGCTCACTGCAACTTCCACCTCCCAGGTTCAAGCAATTCTCTTGCCTCAGCCTCCCGAGTAGCTGGGGCTACAGGCACCCACCACCACGCCCAGCTAATTTTTGTATTTTTAGTAGAGATGGGGTGTCACCATGTTGGCCAGGCTGGTCTCAAACTCCTGAGCTCAAGTAATCCACCTGCCTTGGTCTCCCAAAATGCTGAGATTACAGGCATGAGCCACCACGCCTGGCCTCCCTTTTAGGGTATGCTTTTGATGCATCGGACTAATATATTTTAGATTTTCCACATTTCTACCTATGAGAGGAGCTGATAACAGGAAGCAGGAAAGAGCAGCAAGTTGGAGGCAAAAAAAAGAAGAGGTCAAGTTGAGAAGCCAGACAGAATAAAGAACAATTGCCATGTTACGGGTTACCCGCCTCTGGATCCCAGCTGGCGCAAGCAAGCAAGCTGTGTCACTATCTTCCTGACACTGCGTCTGGACAGGCCCACCCTAGCACTGCCAAGTTAATCAGTGGGGTTCTAGAATTTCTATATAAGAGAGGCTAGGGCTGGGCCTGGTGGCTCATGCCTGTAATCCCAGCACTTTGAGAGGCTGAGGTGGGTGGATCATCTGAGGTCAGGAGTTCGAGACCAGCCTGACCAACATGGTGAAATCCCGTCTCTAGTAAAAATACAAAATTAGCCGGGCATGGTGGCGGGCGCCTGTAATCCCAGCTACTCAGGAGGCTGAGGAAGGAGAATCGCTTGAATCCGGGAGGTGGAGGTTGCAGTGAGCCAAGATCGCGCCACTGCAGTCCAGCCTGGGCAACAGAGTGAAACTCCGTATCAAAAAAAAAAAAAAAAGGCTAGGGGCAGTAATGTAGTTGGAAGGTTGGGGTGTGTGGGTGTATGGGGTGTGTGGGTGTGTGGTGTGTGGGTGCGTGCGTGTGGTGTGTGTGGGTGTGTGGTGTGTGGGGTGTGTGTGGTGTGTGGGTGTGTGGGGTGTGTGGGTGCATGTGGGTGTGTGGGTGTGTGGGTGTGTGGGGTGTGTGGGTATGTGGTGTGTGGGTGGCGGTGTCCAGGGTCTGTGGGTGTGGGTGTGTGTGGGTGTGTGTGTGGTGTGTGTGGTTGTGTGGGGTGTGTGGTGTGTGGGTGTGTGGGTGTGGGGTGTGTGGGTGTGTGGTGTGGTGTGTGGGTATGGGATGTGGTGTGTGGGGTGTCTGGGTGTGTGGGTGTGCAGTGTGCGAGTGTGCAGGTGTGTGGGTGTGTGGTGTGTGTGTTTGGGTGTGTGGGTGTGTAGATGTTTAGGGTGTGTAGTGTGTGGGTGTGTAGTGTTTGGCTGTGCGGTGTGCAGGTGTGCGGGTGTGGGTGTGTGGGTGTGTGAATGTGGGTGTGTGGGTGTGTGTGTGGGGTGTGGGTGTGTGAGTGTGGGCATGCGGGTGTGTGTGGGGTGTGGGTGTATGGGTGTTGGGTGTGGGTGTGTAGTGTGTGGGTGTGCGGGGTGTGGTGTGGGTGTACGGGTGTTGGGTGTGGGTGTGTAGTGTGTGGGTGTGTAGTGGGTGTGGGGTGTGTAGTGTGTGGGGTGTGTAGTGGGTGGGTGTGTAGGTGTGTGGGTGTGTAGTGGGTGTGGGGTGTGTAGTGGGTGGGTGTGTAGGTGTGGGTGTGTAGTGGGTAGGTGTGTAGTGGGTGGGTGTGGGTGTGTAGTGGGTGGGGTGTGTAGTGGGTGGGTGTGTAGTGGGTGGGTGTGTAGTGTGTGGGTGTGTAGTGGGTGGGTGTGGGTGTGTGGGTGTGTAGTGGGTGGGTGTGGGTGTGTGGGTGTGTAGTGGGTGGGTGTGGGTGTGTGGGTGTGTAGTGGGTGGGTGTGGGTGTGTAGTGTGTGGGGTGTGTAGTGTGTGGGTGTGTAGTGGGTGGGTGTGGGTATGTAGGTGTGGGTGTGTAGTGTGTGGGTGTGTAGTGGGTGGGTGTGGGTGTGTAGGTGTGGGTGTGTAGTGTGTGGGTGTGGGTGTGTAATGGGTGGGGTGTGTAGTGTGTGGGTGTGTAGTGGGTGGGTGTGGGTGTGTAGTGTGTGGGTGTGTAGTGGGTGGTAGCTGAGAGAATTATCCTGGACTCAGATGGCAAAGCACATTGTGCATCTTCTTGTCCCTCCCACTGGCTCTGCCATCGTGGGCAGCCATAGTTTGGTATTCAGGAAATGAGGATGTTTATTGCTGCTAAAATTAAAAATTAAAAAACTACTACCATCAGAGGGCAGTATTTGTTTTTTATCAAAAGGTAGCTCTGGCTTGGCACTGGGTATTAGCAATTTTTTCTTTTTCTATTTCTTATCCTTTTTTAAAATTTTATTTTATTTTTATTTATTTATTTATTTTTTGAGATGGTATCTTGCTCTGTTGCCCAGGCTGGAGTGCAGTGGAGCAGTCTCGGCTCACTGCAACCTCCCCCTCCCGGGTTCAAGCGATTCTCCTGCCTCAGCCTCCTGAGTAGTTGGGATTAGAGGAGTGTCAGGCTGGGCTTGAACTCCTGACCACAAGTGAACCGCCCGCCTCGGCCTCCCAGAGTGTTGGGATTACAGGCGTGAGCCACCACGCCTGGCTGCAATTTTTTCTTGTAATTTAAACGTGACTACCTCCACATCTAGAGTGAGCCTTGCTCAGAATTTACACTGTTTTTAAATCATCTTTTAAAAACGCTAGGTTGTCTGTGCCATACATAGACCCATTCTTTAATTATTGATCGAATATGTCTGAAGCACTTCACAGGTGCCAAGCACTGTTCTGGGTAACAGGTATACAGAGAGGAAAAGCCAGGACTTTTCTTTCGTGGAGCTCACATTTCTGTCGGGGAGCAACAGTCAACAAGAAAACGTGTCTTTTTCCAACAAGAAACTATAGGCAAAAAAAAAGAAAAAGAAAAATATCACACGGTCATAAATGCTGTGTAGATAGAGTAGACTGTGTGGGGTTCCTCCTTCACTCAATCCATTCCCTCCCGCAAAACCAAAAAAGGAAGTCAAGGCCGGGCGTGGTGGCTCACGCCTGTAATTCCAGCACTTTGGGAGGCCGAGGCCAGCGGCTCACGAGGTCAGGAGATGGAGACCATCCTGGCTAACACGGTGAAACCCCGTCTCTACTAAAAATACAAAAAATTAACTGGGCATGGTGGAAGTCAAGGAAGAAAAAATATTTCATCCTGATAAAGCCACTGTATCCAAATATCAGGGTCTTACATCCAAGACAACTGCATGAGCAAGCACATTTTATAGCATTATATGCTCAATAAGCTTTATTTTTAAAATCCAGCTTTAACTGTTTTTCATTTTCTTGGTCCATTCCTATGCCTGGCCCCACTTTCTTCAAAAGGTGGATGAGGTGTCACCCTAGGGAGAAGGAACCAGGAGTGAGTTTTTCTTCTGCTCTCGCTCCCGTGGTTCAAGCCTTTCATCCGGTGCTGAGCCTAACTCTTCCCTTAGGACTGCTGGGTGGGGCTTAAATGGCTGTGTGTGTAGAACATCTCCCTGCTCAGTCATCAGCCGAAAAGACCCTCAGAAATCAGGATACATTCATCTTTGTTCCTTTCCCCAGTTTTCTCATTTGTAAAATGGGACGTTAATACCTGTTTCCACTGGGCCAGCGTAAGGAGGAAGTTAGATACCATATGCATAGTACAGCATCTGTCATGGAGTAAGTGTTCAATATGTGAAAGTTTTTTTAAAAAGTCTTTTGCCAGCCGGGCGTGGTGGCTCATGCCTATAATCCCAGCACTATGGGAGGCCGAGGTGGGTGGATCACTAGGTCAGGAGATGGAGACCATCCTGGCCAACATGGTGGAACCCCGTCTCTACTAAAAATACAAAATTAGCCAGGCGTGGTGGTGCACGCCTGCAATCCTGGATACTCGGGAGGCTGAGGCAGGAGAATTGCTTGAACCCAGGAGGCGGAGGTTGCAGTGAGCTGAGACTGCACCACTGCACTCCAGCCTGGGCAACAAGAGCAAAACTCCATCTCAAAAAAAAAAAAAGAAAAGGAAAAGATCTGTATTTTATAATATTTTGAGTGACTGGACTAACACCTACAGGACAAGATATTATGGAGACACAAGTAAAGTCCATGACTTGCATTAAGAAATGCCAACTGCAAGAGCACAGGACAGGAAACAGTTAACCTAAAAACAACGTGAAACAGACAGAGGGCATCCAATTGGCAGCAGTCGCAGTATGAACACTCTGTGGACTGGCTGCCCAGAAAGCTAATGTAAGCCTACGCTACATTAATTGAGGGTTAGTGCTCAGATGGGGGAAAGGTCCTGATCAGATCCTGTCTGGAGCCATGTTTTCTTCCAGGAGCCTCATTTTAAAAGATGTTGACAAACTGGAGTGTGTCCCACAGAGAGTGACCATGTCACATGAGAATCCTTTGCAAGAAGTGATGAGATTTTTGCCTGGAAAAGGCAAAAGTTAAAAGATTGCTCTTAAAGCTCTTTAGTTCTTTACAGATCTTTCACGTAGAAGAATATATTACTACTTCTAGAGGGAAAAACTAGGCACAGTGATTGGAAATTTAGGGAGCAGCTCTCACCTCAAGAAAAGACAGAACTTTCTGGCCAGGCGCGGTGGCTCACGCCTGTAATCTCAGCACTTTGGGAGGCCAAGGAGGGTGGATCACTTGAGGTCAGGAGTTCGAGACTAGCCTGGCCAACATGGTGAAACCCCGTCTCTACTAAAAATCCAAAAATTAGCTGGGCGTGGTTGTGTGCACCTGTAATTCCAGTTACTCGGGAGGCTGAGGCAGGAGAATCACTTGAACCCAGGAGACAGAGGTTGCAGCAAGCCCAGATCACGCCATTGCACACTCTAGCCTGGGGGAAAAGCATAAAACTCCGCCTCAGAAAAAAAAAAAAAAAGAAGAAGAAGAAAAAAGAAAAGACAGAACTCTCTGAAGATCAAAACCGCCAGCAACGGGAAGGGTGACTTTGTGAAGCAGTGACCCCGCTGTCCCTACAGCAGCCCAGCAAGGCACCAGAGAGGTTAACCATTGGCGTTTTTCAAGCTGCCTTCTGTGGAGCAGCATCCTGGGGAGCTAGGGTTGGGGTCGGGTGTAAAAGTGGTCATTGTTCTGAGTGATAAAAAGAATAAGGAGGTGGGAACTGGACTCCTAATTTATCCACAGCAGCTCAATTCTTACATGTTGAAGTTTTTCCCATTTCAGAGTTCTACTTGAGATCTTCATTAAGGGTTCTGCTATGAAAATCAAACCTGCAAACCACCAGAGATGATGGCTTTCTTCGCTATCTCTTTTCTTTTTTGAGATGGAGTCTCGCTCTGTCACCCAGGCTGGAGTGCAATGGCGTGATCTTGGCTTACTGCATCCTCTGCCTCCCGGGTTCAAGCGATTCTCCTGCCTCAGCCTCCCGAGTAGCTGGGATTACAGGTGTGCGCCACCAAGTCTGGCTAATTTTTGTATTTTTAGAAGAGACAGAGTCTCACCACCTTGGCCAGGCTGGTCTTGAACTCCTGACCTCAGGTGATCTGCCCACCTCGGCCTCCCGAAGTGCTGGGATTACAGGTGTGAGCCACCGTGCCCGGCCTCTCCACCGTCTCTGGTGGACACAACACCCCGTCTCTTAGGTGCCTGATTCTCAGACAGGACTCAGGAGCAGAGACCAGATAAATCTCAGATTTGTCTGAGCTTATTTACTTCTGGAGTTTTCTAAATAGCTCTCTCTCTTCCCTGGGGTGGGTTGCTTTTTTTTTTTTTAAGGCAGTTTTTTCAATCTTTTGGGTAGTAGCTCTTGAGTCTGTAAAGCCTGGTAATTTTCTAGAGGTAATTGGCATTAACCATCAAGACTCTCCTCACATGCTCCCTTCCCACTCTGGCACCCTCCTCCCACAGGCCTTCCTCCCGTCCTGCTGCCTCCATCAGTCTCTTCCTCTGGCAGCCAAGGGTTGCCTCTCCAAGTGGTCCCAGGAGAGAAATCCTAGGGCCACGTATCAGTCAGAACACTAGTCCTGGACACCTGTGTTTCTCCTGCCCGCAGGCAGACCCTTCGGGAGACACTTGACCAGCGCAGGCCCTTGGGGGGCAGCTCGCCAGGTAGGACCCCTCCCTGCCAGCTGGGGTTTCCCAGCTCCCCACGCTTGAGTTCTCCTACCTAGAATCTTCTTAGGACTACTTTTAACAGCTGCAGTCCTCTCTGCTTGCTTTACGCCTCCCGAGACTCGTTGTTGCAAAAGTCTTTCTGTGCTAGAGACCCAAACTTTGAATCTCTACTCAAGCTAGTGGTTCTTAGACTTCAGCATGCACCAGACTCATCTGTGGGACTCACGATAGCGCAGATTGCTGCGTTCCACCCCCAGAATTTCTGATTCAGTAAGTCTGGGGTGGAGCCTAAGAATTTGCATTTATTTTCCTTTTTCTTTTTTTAATTTGTTTGAGATAGAGTCTCGCTCTTGTCACCCAGCCTGGAGTGCAGTGGCGCAATCTCAGCTCACTGCAACTCCCACCTCCCAGGTTTAAGCAATTATCCTGTCTCAGCCTCCTGAGTAGCTGGGATTACAGACGTGTGCCACCACGCCTGGCTAATTTTTATATTTTTAGTAGGGACAGGGTTTTGCCGTGTTGGCCAGGCTGGTCTTGAACTCCTGACCTCAGGTGATCCGCCTGCCTTGGCCTCCCAAAGTGCTGGGATTACAGGTGTGAGCCACTGCGCCTGGCCAAGAAATTGCATTTCTAACAAGCCCCCAGACCACACTTTGAGAAGCGCTGTGCGAGGCTTTTGCTTTCCTTCACTGTTGCTGTGGGTATTGGTGTTCCAACCCACAATTCCCTTTTGCTCATACTAGCTTCAGTATATTCCAGTGTCTCTCTGCTTATAGGCTTTTTGTAATAATCTTATTTCTATGGAATTCTGATATACTATGGCCTTTTTTTTTTTTTTTTTGAGACGGAGTCTTGCTCTGTCGCCCAGGCTGGAGTGCAGTGGCACGATCTCTGCTCACTGCAAGCCCCGCCTCCCAGGTTCACGCCATTCTCCTGCCTCAGCCTCCCGAGTAGCTGGGACTACAGGCGCCCGCCACCACGCCCGGCTAATTTCTTGTATTTTTAGTAGAGACGGGGTTTCACCATGTTAGCCAGGATGGTCTCGATCTCCTGACCTCGTGATCCGCCCGCCTTGGCCTCCCAATATACTGTGGCCTTCTATTTTAACTATCCTACGACCACTGGCTCTGTGGGCCAGGGTTTCACCCTCACACAGGTGCTATGCACTTAGAAGGCATTCTTTTTTTTTTTTTTTTTTTTTTTTTCAGATGGAGTTTCGCTCTTGTTGCCCAGGCTGGAGTGCAGTGGCGCCATCTCAGCTCACCACAACCTCCGCCTCCGCCTCCCGGGTTCAAGTGATTCTCCTGCCTCAGCCTCCTGAGTAGCTAGGATTATAGGCACACACCACCACACCCAGCTAATTTTGTATTTTAGTAGAGACAGGGTTTCTCCATGTTGGTCAGGCTGGTCTCGAACTCCCGACCTCAGGTGATCTGCCCGCCTCGGCCTCCCAAAGTGCTGGGATTACAGGCATGAGCCACCGTGCCTGGCCTAGAAGGCATTCTTGCTGAAGAAATTCGGCGGAGGGAAGGATTCATGCAGGCTGGAGCAACAGGGAAAGCTTCACAAAAGGAGTTGGAGTTGAGTGTGTCCTCAAAGGGAGATTTGTCTGTGTAGAAGGGAGAGGAACGAGCATTCCTGACAATGGCTCCTGGACATAGGAGCATTTGTTGGGATGACACGGAGGAACAGACTCTCACTGGAACACACATCTCTTCAATGAGGTGGTGAAATACATCATGGGAAGGAGCCTGTCTGTACCAGAACTCTTACAACCTATTAAGTGCAATTAGCCTCGCTGTAGCCAAAGGGATGTTGATTTTGCTCAGCAGATTGTTATTCAGGATCCCCAGGGACAGTGGTGCTGTGTGGGCAAAGCAGCGTGGGCAGCAGCAGCGTGGGAATGGGTGTGTTCACTCCCGAAGCCCAGGACAGATAACTCCACTTCTTGTTTCTGTAGAAAGAAGTGTGGCAAGAGCTGACCCGAGGAAGAAGCTTTGCTCAATAGGAAATGAGCTATGATGATGAAATGAGGAAGCCCTGCTGGGCTTCAGCTTGATGGTTCTGAATTATAAAGAGAAAAGAATGTGCAAAAAGCGAATATGATCGTGGAAAACTGGAAACACTCCAAATATCGAAAACTGGAAACACTCCAAATATCCATCAATAAGACATTGGTTAAGTGAATTGCGCAGTGTCCATGCTGCGGCATACTATGAAACCCTTAGGCAGAAGAAGGTAGCACTGGGCATAGTGACCTGGAAATAACTCCTAGCTACATGGTTAAGTGAGGAAAACAAGTTGCCAAATAGTATATTATAATTCTTTGATTTAAAAAATATATCAGTAAAAACTCTTGAATGAGGCCAGGTGCAGTGGCTCACACCTGTGATCCCAGGACTTTGGGAGGCCGAGGCGGGCGGATCACCTGAGGGCAGGAGTTTGAGACCAGCCTAACCAACATGTAGAAACCCCATCTCTACTAAAAATACAAAATTTAGCCGGGCGTGGTGGCGCATGCCTTTAATCCCAGCTACTCGGGAGGCTGAGGCAGGAGAATCGCTTGAGCCTGGGAGGCAGAGGTTGCAGTGAGCCGAGATCACACCATTGCACTCCAGCCTGGGCAACAAGAGCAAAACTCAGTCTCAAAACAAAAACAAAAACAAAACAAAACTCTTGAATGATGTGTGCAAAGTGACTGTTAACAGTTTGCCTGTGGAAAGAGGAGTGGGGTTAAAGTGGGAGATAGAGAGCTTAAGTGACTTTTCATTTTTTATTTTTAAAATTAAATTTCTGAATGGTTTAAATTTTTTCAAACATGCAATTGAAATAAATTCCAGCTAATGTGTACTCAGTGCCAGACACTGCTCTAGGTGTTTTAGGCCTATTATTTAATCCTCCCAACAAACCTCTGGAGATAGGTATTATTAATCTCCCCCATTTTGCAAATTAGAAAACTGAGGGCCGGAGCAGTGAAGCAGCCTGTCCAAGGTCACACACTAATAAGTGGGAGAGTTGAAATTTGAACCCACGTCATGTGGCTCCAGCATCTATGGACTGACCCTCTCACTGCAAGGCCCTCGATGGACCATGTTGGTCCATGGGATGGTAACTGTAACTGTAATAAGATTCCAGTAAAAACCGCACAAAAACTATGTGCATAGAAAAAGCAATGGGAGTCTCTATAGTTGTCCCTTTAAAACATGGATCCAAAGATTCACTCTGAATTCCAGCTCAGACAGGCTAATTCAGGCATGAAATATAGTGATTTCAGAACACAAGGAAAGCCTCACTTCTCCCTCCTACCCCAAACTGTTGGTTAACATTTCTTGAACAAGGACTAACTTTTTACCACCCAAATAGCGATCAAGCTTAATATGTGAATATTTCTGGACAAGGCGTAACTATCTCAAATTTAATTGTGTATATCTCTGATTTAATATTATCAAGGTGTAAATAGCAATCACATACAAAAAGCAGGTTGTGATAAGAGATGGGGAAAAGGCAGGAAGGAGGGACTCAGAGCATGATAGGGTACATATGGGGAAGGCAGACGGCAGCAGACTATCATATACTAGTTATCAATGATACTTCTTTACAGTGATAGAAGCCTTCCCTTTCCTAAGAACTTCCTATGTATTTACACATTTGATCTTGACAACTTATGAACTAGAGAAGACAGATTTCTTCATTTTATTGATAGGGAAAACCAGGCTCCAGGAGGCTGTGACTTGGTAAATTACCAAGTTGGAACCGGAACCCAAAACTCCTGATTCTCCCTCGAGGATTCTTGAATTACACCCAGACACTTCAGCCACATCACAACTTCACCCAGCATTAGGTCTGAGTCAGCATCAGTGTAAGAAAATGTAGCAGACAAAAGCTCCAGAGGTTAAAGGGAGCAATAGGACCCTGGCCAGGACCCACTAAAGGACATCCAGGTGGAAGGACAGAGGAAGAGCCCAGGTCAACATAGGGGATGCCAAGGTCACAGGCTGGGGGAATGGCCCCAGTGCTGACACCAAGCAGCTAGGAAACAGGGCAGAAGTTTTGATTGTGGCATCTATATGCCAGGACTTTGCTCCCACCACTTCTCCCATGCTGCCCCCATTTCTAGAATCTTCCTCCTATTTCTTTCCCTTCATTCTTTGCTTTCCTCTCCCACTCTAGCTCCAAACTCGCATTTGCAGTTGTATAAAGGGGGGAAATACATGAATTTTTAGAAATAAAATTTGTCTTACCAATGGGATTGGAATTGTAATCCCATTCTCTTAAACTCATTTTAAACCCCTACTAAATCTTTGAACCTTTTCTACTTTATCACATGGTTAGAATGGGTGAAGTTCCATTACTCAATTCTTTCATCACTTAATTAAATCCAATTAATCTATTGACTGCTTTGCTCAATCTTTTTTTTTTTTTTTTCCAGACAGAGTCTTGATCTGTCGTCCAGGCTGGAGTGCAGTGGCACAATCTCGGCTCACTGCAACCTCTGCCTCCCGGGTTCAAGCGATTCTCCTGCCTCAGCCTCCCGAGTAGCTGGGATTACAGGCATGTGCCACCACACCCGGCTAAATTTTTTGTACTTTTAATAGAGATGGGTTTCACCATGTTGGCCAGGCTGGTTTCTAACTCCTGACCTCAGGTGATCCGCCTGCCTCGGCCTCCCAAAGTGCTGGGATTACAGGCCTGAGCCACCGCGCCTGGCCAATCTGTTTAATCTTGAATTCTCTTCATATTCTTTCTATGACTAGTGCTACAGCGGTGCTGGATGTTTAAGTGATCTTCAGCTGAATTCCGCATCTCCCATGGCTTTGACTCTGTAGTCACCTCCCCTAAAAGTCATGCTGATGACCTGAAGACATGGACACGCTCCACAATCCATGCGATATAGAGGAGAAGGAAAATAAGAATGAAAACAAATACTAAACACTATCATTCCTCTAGGGTAGGGGTGTCCAATCTTTTTTCTCCCCACATTAAAAGAAGAATTGTCTTGGGCCATACATTAAAAAATACACTAACACTAATGATAGCTGATGAACTAAAAAAAAAAAAAGTCACAAAAAAAAGCTTATCAATTTGTGTTGGGCTGCATTCAAAGCCACCTGGGCCACATGCAGCCCGCGGGCAGCAGGTGGGACAAGCTTGCTCTAGGGTAAGTGGATGACTCCTGGAACTTCCTGCAATGTGTGGTTGGACCACTGATAGTCGTGGGCGGGAGAAAGCACTGAGGAGGCAAGACAATGAGCGATTCGAACGCGGCTGTGCATGACAAGGAAGACACTGCGTGGTTTTTGTTTTACACTTTGCACATTTTATTTTTAGCCTCGCCACTGCCCACATGGTTCTAAAAATTACCACCAGGGGGCAGAAGGGTGCCAATGTCCATTGTCTCTGCTACGTTTGGGTTTTCCTTTCCGAATTTCCTCACAGAAGAATTTCTGATCCTATTATACAGATTAAGAAACCAAGGAGCAGAGTGAAGTAAGTGGTAGGCAATCCAGCATTTTGTGAGTGGCAGTGGCAGGAGTTAAACACTGGTTTGGGTAAATACAAGGACTAGGCACTTTCAGAGCTCACCTGAGTTTAAAAACATTTTACAATCCTCTTTGATTAAATGCAATACATTAAGAAAACTTCAAACAGGCCAGGCGCGGTGGCTCACGCCTGTGATCACAACACTTTGGAAGGCCGAGGCAGGCGGATCACCTGAGGTCAGGAGTTCGAGACCAACCTGGCCACCGTGGTGAAACCCCATCTCTACTAAAAATACAAAAATACGGGCATTGTGGTGAACACCTGTAATCCCAGCCACTCAGGAGGCTGAGGCAGGAGAATCGCTTGAACCCGGGAGATGGAGGTTGCAGTGAGCCGAGATCGCACCACTGCACTCCAGCCTGGGTGACAGAGCAAGACTCCGTCTCAAACAAAAACAAAACACTTCAAACAATGTTACTGTAACTCCTTCTATTTTCCTGTTTTGTGTTTCACTTATCACCAGTTTTTGTCACTCATAGTCTTTTCAGCTCTGTGTCCATTGTAAAAGAGGGGGACTTGCCCCTTTCGACTAATATCGACTTTATGTCCCTCCATTAAGAAAACCTTGGCCAGGCGCGGTGGCTCAAGCCTGTAATCCCAGCACTTTGGGAGGCCGAGACGGGTGGATCATGAGGTCAGGAGATCGAGACCAGCCTGGCCAACATGGTGAAACCCCATCTCTACTGAAAATACAAAAAATTAGCCGGGTGTGGTGGCGGGTGCCTGTAGTCCCAGCTACTGGGGAGGCTGAGGCAGGAGAATCACTTGAACCCGGGAGGCGGAGTGTTGCAGGAAGTCACCAGCTGAAGCCATGACAGAAGAACGTGGATTGTGAAGATTTTATGGACATTTATTAGTTCCCCAAATTAATACTTTTGTAATTTCTTATGCCTATCTTTACTGCAATCTCTAAACATAAATTGTGAAGATTTCATGGACACTTATCACTTCCCCAATCAATACCCTTGTGATTTCCTATGCCTGTCTTTACTTTAATCTCTTAATCCTGTCAGCTGAGGAGGATGTATGTCACCTCAGGACCCTGTAATAATTGCATTAACTGCACAAATTGTACAGCATGTGTGTTTGAGCAATATGAAATGTGGGCACCTTGAAAAAAGAACAGGATAACAGCAATTGTTCAGGGAACAAGAGAGATAACCTTAAACTCTGACCACATGTGAGCAGGGCAGAACACAGCCATATTTCTCTTCTTTCAAAAGCAAATGGCAGAAATATCGCTGAATTCTTTTTCTCAGCATGGGACATCCCTGAGAAAGAGAATGCACCCCTGAGGGTGGGTCTATAAATGGCCCCCTTCGGTGTGGCCCCCTTAGGTGTGGCCATCTTCTATGGTCGAGACTGTAGGGATGAAATAAACTCCAGTCTCCCATAGCGCTCTCAGGCTTATTAGGAAGAGGAAATTCCCGCCTAATAAATTTTGGTCAGACCAGTTGATCTCAAAAGCCTGTCTCCTGATAAGATGTTATCAATGACAATGGTGCCCGAAACTTCATTAGCAATTTTAATTTCACTTTGGTCCTGTGGTCCTGTGATCTCGCCCTTCCTCCACTTGCCTTGTGATATTCTATTACCCTGTTAAATACTTGATGTCTGTGACCCACACCTATTCGCACACTCCCTCCCCTTTTGAAAATCCCTAATAAAAACTTGCTGGTTTTTGTGGCTTGTGGGGCATCACGGAACCTACCGACATGTGATGTCTTCCCCAGATGCCCGGCTTTAAAATTTCTCTCTTTTGTACTCTGTCCCTTTATTTCTCAAGCCGGCGGACGCTTAGGGAAACGAGAAAAGAACGTACGTGATTATCGGGGCAGGTCCCCTGGTAGCAGAGGTTGCAGTGAGCCGAGATCGTGCCACTGCACTGCAGCCTGGGTGACAGAGGGAGACTCTGTCTCAAAAAAAAAAAAAAAAAGAAAAAGAAAAGAAAAGAAAACCTTTCTGGGCTGGGCACAGTGGCTCATGCCTGTAATCTCAGCACTTCGGGAAGCCGAGGCGGGCAGATCACCCAAGGTCGGGAGTTCGAGACCGGCCTGACCAACATGGAGAAACCCTGTCTCTACTGAAAATACAAAAAAAATTAGCCAGGAGTGGTGGTGTGCACCTGTAATCCCAGCTACTCGGGAGGCTGAGGCAGGAGAATCGCTTGAACCTGGAAGGTGGAGGTTGCAGTGAGCCGAGATCATGCCATTGCACTCCAGCCTGGACAACAGAGCAAGACTCTGTTTCAAAAAAAAATAGTCTTGGCCCTTTGAGTTTGACAAGAGGCTAGCTGGATCCTCACTGGAGACTAGCGTTTCATTTGTGTCAAGTGAAATGGAGTAGTACCGAAAAGGTCGGAGATCTGGGGCTTCGTCAAGTACACAGAACACATTTGAAAACTGTTCCTGTACCTGCCTGATAGTAAACATGATGTGCATATGGCTCTGTCTGGGCTGAGACTTGCTTCCATCATGCCATGATGTTTGGGTCAGGACATCTGTGGACCTCATCTGTTATCTACCAACGATTATAAACGGACAAATTGCCTTAAGTTGGTTTCACAGTATTTTGTTTACATCCCACTTCAGAGAAAATCCCTCCAGCAAATATACCTGCATCTCCTTCCTTCCTCCGTGAGGGAAAAGTCCAGGTGTGGGAGTTGGGGAAGAGTCACCTCTGTCCTCTCTCCAGGTTTCCCACTAGCTGGAGGAAACATCTCCCTCCTTTCTTTAATTTACAGGTTCATTTCCTGAGGCTCCTTTCTGGCTTTCTCACAGAGAGTAGCGTGTTTTCCACACAATGTGTGTTTGCTAAAGAGACCTGCAAGTTTTTCCAAGCTAGATAGTAACACATAGGCAATTCACTTTTTGAAAACGACTGATACAAAATGCGTAAAACAACAATATCCTTTAAAATATAAGGGCTGGGCACGGTGGCTCACACCTGTAATCCCAGCACTTTGGGAGGCTGAGGTGGGCGAATCATCTGAGGTCGGGAGTTTGAGCCTGACCAACATGGTGAAACTCCGTCTCTACTAAAAATACAAAATTAGCCAGGCGTGGTGGTGCATGCCTGTAATCCCAGATACTCAGGAAGCTGAGGCAGGAGAATCGTTTGAACCTGGGAGGCGGAGGTTGCGGTGAGCCGAGATTGTGCCATTGCACTCCAGCCTGGGCAACAACAGTGAAACTCCATCTCAAAAAAAAAAAAAAAAAGATAAAATTGCAAAGAAAAAAAATCTATGTCATCATTATAGGGTGGTAACTTTTACACTTATCTTTCTTTCTAAGGAGATTCTAAGTCCTGAAGAGTCAGTCTCAGACATTACGATCCCCCTCCTCAGGTGCTTTGGACCAGGCTTTCGTCATATGCTGTCTACAGTATTATCATTGTCTAGATTGGTTGCGATTATTCCATAGTCATTTTTATTTAACGGACGTACAGCAAAGTGCATCAATTTGAAGTGTACAGTTCAATGAACGTTGACACAGATGTACACCCCTGTGGGCACCAGCACACGTCTCCAGCACCTCCAAAAGGCTGCCTCATCCCCTTCCTTGTCAATACCAAACCCCCAAAAGGGTGAACCACTGTAACTTCTACCACCTTAGATTGCTTTCGTCATCTTGAATGTAATTGAATAAAACAGTATATACTTGGCCAGGCGCGGTGGCTCACGCTTGTAATCCCAGCACTTTGGGAGGCCGAGGCGGGTGGATCATGAGGTCAGGAGTTCAAGACCAGCCTGGCCAAGATGCTGAAACCCCGTCTCTACTAATAAGACAAAAACAAAACAAAAACAGTATATACTTTTTGGCATCTGGTTTCTCTGCTCAACGTGGGGCAGTGAGATTCATTGACTCTGTGGCATAAAATGGTACTTTCTCTTTTGTATTGCTGTGTGGTATTTCTATATATGAATATATTACAGTTTGGTGATTCAGCCCTCTGTGGATGGGCTTTTAGGTGGTTGTCAGTTTTTTATTACTGTGATAAAGCTGCTAAAAGTGTGTACATGTCTTTTGGGGGATTCATTTTCCTTGGATAAGTACTAGGAATGGAATTGCTGGGTGTTAGTATAAATGGTGTCTTAAAGATTTTTATTTTCTAGTTGATTGTAGAAGCATGTACAAATACAGTTGGTTTTTGTATACTGACCTTCCTTCTAGCAACTGTGCTAAATTCATCTGTGAAATCGCATCATTTATTTGCAGATTCTTTCAGACTTTCTATGTATGTCGTCACGTCATTTGTGAATAATGACAGGTATTTTGCTTTCCAGTTTTTATTCCTTCCCCCCCTTTCTTGACAGTAATGGCTAGAACCTCCAGTACACTGTTGGGTATTGGTGGTGATGGTACATATCATTACCATGTTTCTGATGTCAGGGGGAAGTATTCAATATTTCAGCATTCAGTTTGATGATACCTATACCTAATTAAAATGTTCTTGTGTTTTAGAATAATTTCAGAGTCACAGAAAAGTTCAGAGTCACAGAAAAGTTCTGCAAAAAGTGCTTTTTGCAGATGGATACTATTTTTGCAGTATTTCGCAAAAACCTTTTGCAGGTGGATACTATTTTATTATTATTATTTGAGATGGAGTCTTGCTCTGTTGCCCAGGCTGGAGTTCAGTGGCATGATCTTGGCTCACTGCAACCTCTGCCTCCTGGGTTCAAGTGATTCTCCTGCCTCAGCCTCCTGAGTAGCTGGGATTACAGGTGCCCCCCACCACGCCCGACTAATTTTTGTATTTTTAGTAGAGACAGAGTTTCACCATCTTGGTCAGGCTGCTCTTGAACTCCTGACCTCATGATCCACCTGCCTCAGCCTCCCAAAGTGCTGGGATTACAGGTATGAGCCACCGCACCTGGCACAGATGGATACTATTTAATGAATTAAAAAATCTTCTATTATTGGTTTCCTGAGTGTTATTACATTAACAGGTATTGAATTTTTTCAGGTGCTTTTTTGCATATTGAGATGATTACATGATTATTCTTTTAGTCTGTTCATGTAAAATTTGTGTTGATTGACTTTCAAATGTTATACTAATCTTGCATTACTAGAATAAACCTGGCATTACTGAGCAAGGTGTGAAGTCTTTTTGGGGTATATTGCCAGATTTGCTTTGTTAATATTTTGTTGAGAATATTTATATCCAAGCTCATTAAAGAGGTCGTCCAACAATTTTCTCTTTTTGCAATGTCTGGTTTTGAGTCTCGATATCAGGATTTTGCCCACCTCATAAAACATGTTGGAATATATTAACTTTTCCTTTTTTTTTTCTTTTTTGAGACAGAGTCTTGCTCTGTCGCCCAGGCTGGAGTGCAGTGGCGCGATCTCAGCT
This sequence comes from Homo sapiens, assembly GCF_000001405.40. Taxonomy (NCBI): domain Eukaryota; kingdom Metazoa; phylum Chordata; class Mammalia; order Primates; family Hominidae; genus Homo; species Homo sapiens. Next base: position 196,679,538 of record NC_000003.12, on the reverse strand, counting down.
CACTGCAACCTCCGTCTCCCAGGTTCAAGCAATTCTCCTACCTCAGCCTTCCGAGTAGCTGGGATTATAGGCATGAGCCACCATACCTAGCTAATTTTTGTATTTTTAGGAGAGATGGCGTTTCACCATGTTGGTCATGAACCTCTATCGTTTTAAAAAATTTCTGAAGAATATTAATATTTTTCTTTCTTCAATATTTTGAGTCATTCACTAGTAAAGCCATCTGGACATGGAGTTTTCTTTGTAGAACGGTTTTAATTACAAATCTAACCTACAGGACTATTCAGATTTTATTCTTTCTTCTCATCTCATATTTATTTACTTGTATTTTCCAAAGCCTCTGCTGATTTCATCTAAATTATTCAAATTATTGTGCAAAGATAGTTACAACATCGTATTATCTTCTATTGTTGTAGGGTCTGTAGCAATATTCTCATTTTAATTCCTGACATTGGTAATTCATTTTTTTCCTCTTGAGAGTTTACTAAAATTTTTTTGTTTTAGAATAATTTCAGAGTCACAGAAAAGTTCTGAAGATACTACAAAACGTTTCCATATACCTCTCACCCAATTTGTTTATCCAATACATTTGTCAAAACTAAGAAAACAACATTGATACATTGCTATTAATAAACTCCAGACTTTACTCATAGTTCACCAGATATTTTCATTAGTGATCTTTGTTTCTTCCAGGATCCAATCCAGAATACTGTATTGTGATTAGTTATTACTTTCTTAGGCTTTCCTTGTGTTTCATGACCTTGATAGTTTTGAAGAGGACTGGTCAGATATTTTGTAGAATGTATTTCAGATTGGGTTGTCTTGTATTTTTCTCATTATAGGACTGGGGTGATGGGTTATTGGAAGGAATACCAGAGGTGATGTGCCGTTCTCATCACATCGTATCAAGGGGTACATACTACTTGCATGACACCATTGGTGATGTTAACCTTCATCACTCGGTTCAAGTAGTATCTGCCAGGTTGCTTTACTGTGACGTTACTATTTTTGCCTCTCCATATTTTATTTTTTGGAAGTACATCACTAAGTCCAACCACACTCCAAAGTTGAGGGAGGGCAGCAGAGGAGGATAAGATTCACTTCCTAGAATGGAAAGAATCTACACACATTATTTATAATTCTTCTTTCCCACTTATTAATTTATTTAGACATTTATTTATATCAGTATGGATGGATACAGAGCAAAACAGGAAAGGGTGGAGAAGGGATCTGAAAGTAAAGAGGCAACTGACTGGCACTAGGGCTAAGCCAATATTACTTGTTTTCTAGTTTCTTTGAGATTCTGAGCCCAGAGTCTGGACTAATGTGTCTGTTGGATGATTAGATATGTGGCAAACTGATGTTCTGTGTCATCCAGCTTTGAGACTAAGAACAGAAATGGCCTATTGTGTTATAGTATGTGGCAAATGCATGGGTGACACAGGAAGAGAAACTGATTCCTCTTTCAGGAGCACATTAAATTAAGAAAAATGAAGACACAGAAAACAGCTTATATGATACATATGCCACACACCCTTCTTGTCATTGTCCAAATGCAGCACAGAGAACCTTGACCCAGTGCTGACGGGAGTAGTTCAGCACTCAGCTCTCAGGATACTTGGGGGAGTCAAGAACAGTGGAGGGATGGGGGATGGAAGTGAAGAAAAGTAACTTGTAAGTGACAACCAATGAATTAAAAATATAGCTTTGTATGTATCCCCAGAGCTAAGCAGTGCCTGGCACAGAGCAGCAGCTTGGTAAATATTTGCTGAATAAATGAATGTCTTAGGGATTTGCTCAAACAAGGAGTAAGATTTCTGTGTATTTGGACTTTAAATAAGCCTCAAGCAAATAAATGCATCTTTCTAGAAGTGAACAGACCTAAAAGGTTTATGATGTTGAAATCATAAGGGAAGACCGAGCTGTAATTCCCTGATTAGGACATCAGATTTGAGGATGTGGGGGTGGGTGGTGAAGCTCTAGTTTATTGATACCAAGAAACCAGTGGGCAGTTCCCAAGCAGAGTGCCCTTTGTCAGCTTAGAAACATCTAAACTTGTCCTGATGTTGCTGTCAGCTGGCTTGAGGGGTGGGGGGCAGATTCCAGCCTATTTTAGGGGTGTTAGGAAAGAGATTCCTGGTCAGTATCTCACAGGTAGGTGCTGGCACCTGGATGAGAAAGAGAGCTGAGACATACCCATCTTAGAGGGCTCAATAGCCCTCTAAGTCCAATAGTCCAATGACTTTGTGGCTATGAGTTAGCTGAAACCCTCAGTGATAACAAACAAAATCCACATAGGTGTTCTCACAGACTGGAAGCTCACAGTTATAAACAATCAGATAAAGGTTGTGGGGACAGGAAGGGAAGGCTGCTTCCTCATCACCTCTGGGCCACGGGCAAACCAAACACCTCCACATTGCTCCCTTTCTTAACTAAGCTGACCCCTCCCACTCTTTCTAATTTTATTTACAATCGATATTTTATTTATAAATATTTCTAATATCTGTCTAATTCACTCAGATAATCTAACAGAAAGCTCTTAGAATCACAGAACATTAGACTTGCAGGAAACAGTAGAAATTATCTAGTTCAACCTCCTTATTTTGTAGGTGAGGAAAGTGAAGCCCAGGAGGGCAATGCTTAGCTCAAGGGCATGTTTCGTTAGAGTCAACCTAGGACTGTAACCTCAGTGCTAACGCCCAGTAGAAAGCCATCTCTGTTATTCTGGTGCTGCTCCTCCACCTTGAGTAACCTCAGAGTGGATGCAACAGCCAGACCGCAGGCTGACCTACCTTTCCACCTGCGGAAGCTCAGGAACTGACAGTGGAAAACTTAACAACAATAAAAAATAAAAACGGGGCCGGGCGCGGTGGCTCCCGCCTGTAATCCCAGCACTTTGGGAGGCCAAGGCAGGCAAATCACGAGGTCAGGAGATCGAGACCATCCTGGCTAACATGGCGAAACCCCGTCTCTACTAAAAACACAAAAAATTAGCCGGGCGTGGTGATGGGCGCCTGTAGTTCCAGCTACTTGGGAGGCTGAGGCAGGAGAATCACTTGGACCCGGGAGGCGGAGCTTGCAGTGAGCCGAGATCGCGCCACTGCACTCCAGCCTGGGCGACAGAGCAAGACTCCGTCTCAAAAAAAAAACAAAAAACGTTGATTTTTAAAAATCATGTATCTAGCAAAAGGCTTCTTGGGATTGGGAAAAACAGTATGTTCCACAGGAAGATAGAAATTGTGAACTGGCGATGACTTAAAGGATTGATACCATTCAACCAGCAACCCTCCCTCTCTTGATACAAGTTCCCAAAGTAGGCTATACTCCATCATCTCAAAAAAGGTGATGAGCCCTGTCATCTACTACCAAAAATTAAACAGGATCTAGAATTTAACATTGAATCCCAGTAACATGGCAACATAGTAGTAACGCAACATTAAAATGCCCTCTGAGAATGAACAAACCTCACAACATCAAAACCCAGGTACCGCTTAAGGCTTAACAAAGAAGCCGTGGCGGTCGCCATCTTGGATACCACGCGCCGGGAATACAGCTCCTCAAGTGACTGAGTGATGAAAACCGCAAACTCGGCCAGGTGGTGGCTCACGCCTGTCATCCCAGCACTTTGGGAGGCCGAGGTGGGCGGATCACCTGAGGTCAGGAGTTCAAGACGAGGCTGGTCAACATGGTGAAACCCCGTCTCTACTAAAAATACAAAAAATTAGCCGGGCGCGGTGGCGGGCGCCTGTAGTCCCGGCCACTCGGGAGGCTGAGGCAGGAGAATGGCGGGAACCCGGGAGGCGGAGCTTGCAGTGAGCCGAGATCGCGCCACTGGATTCCAGCCTGGTGACGGAAGAAGACTCCGTCTCAAAACAAGCAAACAAACAAGCAAAAAACCCCACAAACTACAAAAGTAAACAACAGTAAGTGAAACTTTTTTTTTTTTTTTTGAGACGGAGTCTTGCTCTGTCGCCCAGGCTGGAGTGCAGTGGTGCGATCTCGGCTCACTGCAAGCTCTGCCTCCCGGGTTCCCGCCATTCTCCTGCCTCAGCCTCCCGAGTGGCCGGGACTACAGGCGCGTGCCAACATGCCCGGCTAATTTTTTGTATTTTTAGTAGAGACGGGGTTTCACCGTGTTAGCCAGGATGGTCTCGATCTCCTGACCTCGTGATCCGCCCGCCTCGGCCTCCCAAAGTGCTGCGATTACAGGCGGGAGCCACCGCGCCCGGCCAGTAAGTACAACATTTTGCAAGGACTGTGGAGAGATTCACAAGCTAAGAAATCAACACTGGAAAACTAAGCCCCCCAAAAGAAGTAAAATTTGTTCATGAACTCACAAAAATACACCCAAGAAGGACACTTGAAAATGAAATGAAAAAGGACTGAGTGGGTACAAATTGGGAGAAAAAAAAGATTAAATAAGTCAGGAAGGGAAAAGACGATAAATTCAATGATGGGCTAATGGAATTTGATGGCAGTCACCAGAGGCTGAGCTGCTCAAGCAAGTATCAGCTCTTTTCTTCCTTTGAAGCCTGAGAAACAAATTGTGCCTATTTATAAGATTTTAAATGCCAAAAAGAGGAGACTACTAGAGTTAATAGCCATCGAAAGAAAAAAAAACTGAGTTGTTAAAGTATTTCACTGTTGGTCTAAATAAACTTTGAAAGTATGAACAAGGATGTCCTACCTGCTGGGTGCTGGAGCAGGGTTGACAGGGAGGAGAGTGGGAGACCCAAAATACCCATAGAAAGGTGAATAGCTGCAGAACTGCGCCCACCATGAGAGCCTCAGTAGAAGCACTAGCAATCAAAAGTAAATAAAGCACATTTTAAAAAAGACTTTGTACTTTCATACGCAGAATTATATTTCAGCCACTGAATTAATATATGCCACTTTCTTATTTGTGAACACATGCGTTATGCAAAGAGTTCTTTTATTTTTAAACGTAACTTTTAAAAAAAAGTATTTGGGGCCGAGTGCAGTGGCTCATGCCTGTAATCCCAGCACTTTGGGAGGCCGAGGTGGGCGGATCACCTGAGATCAGGAGTTCAAGACCAGCCTGACCAACGTGGTGAAACCCCATCTCTACTAAAAATACAAAATTAGCCGGGCAGGGTGGCGCATGCCTGTAATCCCAGCTCCTCAGGAGGCTGAGGCAGGAGAATCACTTGAACTCGGGAGGCGGAGGTTGCAATGAGCCGAGGTCATGCCATTGCACTCCAGCCAGGGAAACAAGATCGAAACTCCATCGCTCGTTCTCTATATATACATATATACATATACATATACATATATATATACAAAATATACAAAAAATTAGCAGGGCATGGTAGCGGATGCCTGTAGTCCCACCTACTTGGGAGGCTGAGGTGAGAGGATCGCTTGAGCACGGGAGTTTCAGGCTGCAGGGAGCCGAGCTCATGCCACTGCACTCTAGCCTGGGCGACAGGGTGAGACCCTGTCTCAAAACACACAAACAAAAACTAAAAATAGAGCTAGCATCTGATCCATCAATCCCACTGCTAGGTATATACCCAAAAGAAAGGAAATCTGTATATCGAAGAGATACCTGCCCTCCCATGTTTATTGCAGCACTATTCACAATAGCCAAGATTTGGAAGCAACCTAAGTATCCATCAAAAGATGAATGGATAAAGAAACTGGTCCATATAGACAATGGAGTACTATTCAGCCAAGAAAAAGAATGAGATCCTGTCATTTGCCACAGTATGGATGGAACTGGAGGTCATTGTGTTAAGTCAAATAAGCCAAGTACAAAAAGACAAACTTCACGTTTTCATTTATTTGTGGGAGCTAAAAATAGTAAAACAGTTGAATCCCCGGAGATATAGAGTAGAATGATGGTTTCCAGAGGCTGGAAAGGGTGATTGGTCAGAGAGAACTGGGATAGTTAATGGGTACAAAAATACAGTTACAAACAATGGAGCAGGCGCGGTGGCTCACACCTGCAATCCCAGCACTTTGGGAAGCCGAGGTGGGCTGATCACATGAGGTCAGGAATTTGAGACCAGCCTGACCAACATGGTGAAACCCCATTTCTACTAAAAATACAAAATTAGCCAGGCACGGTGGCGCATGCCTGTCATCCCAGCTACTCGGGAGGCTGAGGCAGGAGAATCGTTTGAACCTGGGAGGCAGTGGTTGCAGTGAGCCAAGATCGCGCCATTGCCTTCCAGCCTGAGCAACAGGAGAAAAACTCTGTCTCAAAAAAAAAAAAAAGAGAGAAAAAGAAACAATGGGCTGGGTGCAGGGGCTTATGCTACTAGCGCTGTGGGAAGCCAATTTGGGAGAATGATTGAGCCTAGAAGTTCAAGACCATCCTGGGCAACATAGTGAGACGCCATCTCTACAAAAAATTTAAAAAATGGCCGGGCTCCGTGGCTAACGCCTGTAATCCCAGCACTTTGGGAGGCCGAGGTGGGCAGATTGCCTGCGGTTGGGAGTTTAAGACCAGCCTGGCCAACATGGTGAAACCTTTTCTTTACTAAAAATACAAAAATGAGCCTGACATGGTGGCGGGCACCTGTAATCCCAGCTACTCGTGAGACTGAGGCAGGGGAATCGCTTGAACCCAGGAGGCGGAGGTTGCAGTGAGTCCGGATTGAGCCACTGCACTCCAGCCTGGGCGACAGAGTGAGACTTCGTCTTGAAAAAAATAAAAATAAATAAAAAATATTAGCCGGGCGTGCTGGTGCACGCCTGTAATCCCAGTACCCAGGAGGCTGAGGTGGGAGAATCATTTGAGCCGAGGAAGTTGAGAAGGCAGTGAGCCGAGATCCGGCCACTGTGCTTCAGCCTGGATGACAGAGCGAGACCCTGTCTCAGGGGAAAAAAAAGAATGAATGAATAAAATCTAGTATTTAATAGCAAAATAGAGTGACTACAGTCAACAGTAATTTACTGTATATTTTTAAATACCTAAAGGAGTATATTTGGATTGTTTGTAACACAAAGAAAAGATAAATGCTTGAGGTAATGGGTACCCCATTTACCCTGATGTGATTATTATACATTGTGTACCCGTATCAAAATATCTCATGTACCCCATAAATAAATACACTTTTCTGTACCCACAAAAGTTAAAAATAATAAATTAAATCAGGACAGTGGCCATAAAGAAATAAAAGAAGAAAAATTAGTTTCCTGTTAGGACAACTGTAGGAAGCGGAGCTGGGGAGGCAACACTGACTTGCATTCAAAAGGAAAGCATGACTTTTTTTTTTTTTTTTTTTTTTTTTTTTTGAGAAACGAGTCTCACTTTGTCGCCCAGGCTGGAGCGCAGTGGCGCGATCTCGGCTCACTGCAAGCTCCGCCTCCCGGGTTCACGCCATTCTCCTGCTTCAGCCTCCCGAGTAGCTGGGATTACAGGCATCCACCACCACGCCCGGCTAATTTTTTGTATTTTTTAGTAGGGACGGGGTTTCACCATGTTAGCCAGGATGGTCTCGATCTCCTGACCTCGTGATCCGCCCGTCTCAGCCTCCCAAAGTGCTGGGATTACAGGCGTGAGCCACTGCACCCGGCCGAAAGCATGTGACATTTTTGAAAAGTTAGAGAATTGAAGGGCATTTCCTTTTCTAATCGACTGTTACGATCAAAGTGGAATTTTTGTTGTTGTTATCGCTCTTTCAGAGGAAGGATGTTCTACAAAGTGAAACACAGGCAGTAGAGGAAGATGATATTGTTCAAGAAATCTAGATCAAGAAAGTCAGGGTTCGCTTGAAACTTTTAAGAGAAGTTTCTTGTATAATCTGAAAATTTCAGGAGAGGTGTCATTAGCAGAAGACGGTTTAAACACAGTCCTTCGCACAGATTTCTCAAAGACATTATCTAAGAAGGGGGTGTGGGGAAGGCAAATGGCCAAATAAAATTTGAATGGAGCTATATTGGCTTTTTGAAAATAGAAGAAAAAAGTTTGTCAGTGAAATGCCAGCCAAAGAGAGGCTATTTTCGTAAGTGGTAAGCTGTATGGTAATGTTAAAAATAAATGAATGTATGTATATTAATGATGGTGATATAAATAAATAAGTATATGAATACCGGGTGACCTGTCAGGACTGCCTGTGTACTCTACCCTGGGGGCCAGGATGTTTCTGCTACATCTCATGAAGTATCTCATAGGCAGCTAAGATGCTCAGAGCAGCAAAGCAATCAAACAAAATCTGATATTTAAATGATTCTTTCCAACACTACAAACCCTTGGGGTAGATTCTCACAGAATGGAAGGATTTTGAGGGCATTAAACAGGGGGTGGGTGTATTTCTTTGGCTGTATCTCATACACATATCTCCTTAGTCATCCTTTTAGGACTTTCAACTCTGTTGTTTATTCTGCTGTTTTTCTTGTCTTTTCTTTTTCTTTTTCTTTCTTTCTTTCTTTTTTTTTTTTTTTTTTTTGAGACAGAATCTTGCTCTGTCACTCAGGCTGGAGTGCAGTGGTGCGATCTCTGATCACTACAACCTCTGCCTCCCGAGTTCCAGCGATTATCCTGCCTCAGCCTCCCGAGTAGCTGGGACCACAGGTGTGCACCACCACACTCGGCTGATTTTTGTGTTTTTAGTAGAGATGGGGTTTCACCATGTTGGCCAGGCTGGTCTCAAACTCTTGACCTCAGGTGATCCTCCCACCTCAGCCTCCCAAAGTGCAAGGGTTACAGGCTTGAGCCACCGAGCCCGGCCAAAAATGCCCTTTTTATATAGAGAGATTATTTTCTGAATCCTGATTGATTTGAGAAACAACTCACATGTGAGGTGTGCCTCTTCCTCTGCATCTCCGGGGAAAAGAAGTGAGCTGAGTTTCCTCCTAAAGGCTGGCGTTCCGATCTAGCCAGGAGAGCTTCCCATTTTTTTCCCCTTTCCCCCTTTTTGCTTTATTTCTAACTTGCATTTTACAGCGTTGGTAAGACAACAGGAAGCACTGGGCTTCCTCTCCAGGGCATTCAGCTGAAGGGATTTGCTTACCACACTGAAAACAGTAGCCGGAAAAGAGAGCACACACCCATCTTCCAGAGCATGACCTCTCCCCCTCCTCCTTGCTCTCTCTGCCCTCCCCATGCCGGCCCCACTTCTCCCTCAATGACTGGGAGGCCCCACTGGGGTAGCAGTGTGCAGGCCCCCGCAGTGTCCATGCCAGCTTTATCCCCACTGAGATTTGATGTGGCTGTATGTGTACCTTCCCATGTTCTCCTAGACAAAGGTTTTGGAGGTCTGTGGGAAGACTGGTTTTGAACTGTGATCTGCCAATACCATCTCTCTTAAGATTATGAGATGATGCAAGAAACTTCTCTCAGTCTCAGCAAGATAAGATGCTGTTATGTAAAGTTACTAAGGGTTAATCAATCAAATCAATCAGGGTTAATCAGTCACTGAGACACAGACTCACTTAGTGTCAGAATTGCTCTGCATGTTCTTATATGTAAAATGGTTTGCTGTGTTGCCATTTATAAGCTAAACACCCTTGAAAGAAGCAAAGGGAGGGAATACTGGTTGCAAACTCAGTGTGTACAGGGTTAAGAGTTTTAAATATGATGCAAGTTTTTAATTTTTTTAATTTTTCTTGACATGGAGTCTAACTCTGTCAGCCAGGCTGGAGTGCAGTGGCAGGATCTCAGCTCACAACAACCTCTGCCTCTTGGGTTCAAGCAATTCTCCTGCCTCAGCCTCCCGAGTAGGTGGGATTACAGGTGTGCCCCACCACGCCCAGCTAATTTTTGTATTTTTAGTAGAGACGGGGTTTCACCATGTTGGCCAGGATGGTCTCGATCTCTTGACCTTGTGATCCGCCTGCCTCAGCCTCCTAGAATGCTGGGATTACAGGCGTGAGCCACCGTGCCTGGCTGCAATGCATTTCTTAAATGTATTTGATTGAAGTCTCCTGCCTCTCTAAAATGTATAAAACCAAGCCGTGCCCTGACCACCTTCGGCACACGTTCTCAGGACTTGTCATGGGCCATGGTCACTCGTATTTGGCTCAGAATAAATCTCTTCAAGTATTTTACAGAGTTCTATAAGTCTCTTCAAATATTTTATAGAGTTCTGGCCAGACATGGTGGCTCACACCTGTAATCCCCAGCACATTGGGAGGCCGAGGCAAGTGGATCACCTGAGGTCAGGAGTGCGAAACAAGCCTGGCCAACATGGTGAAACCCCATCTCTACTAAAAATACAAAAATTAGCCAGGCATGGTGGCTGGCATCTGTAATGCCAGCTACTCGGGAGACTGAGGCAGAGAATTGATCGAACACCAGAGGCAGAGGTTGCAGTGAGCCGAGATCGTGCAACTGCACTCCAGCCTGGGGGACAGAGCAAGACTCTGTCTCAAAAAAAAAAAAAAAAAAAAAAAAATATATATATATATATATATATATATATATATATTTTTTTTTTTTTTTTTTTTTTTTTAATTTTTTTCCAGAGTTTGACTGTCCTTCGACAGAACCAACTTTGGACAGAAGGTCCAAAAAGCTGCTGAGGACAGTCATTGCACCGATTGCACTGGGAGGAAGATGGGACCTTGAACAAAAGCCGTGTCCCGAATGAGTGAAAGTCACAGAGGCTCTTGGGACCAATTACAGAGGACCCTTTTTTTTTTTTTGGAGACAAGAGTCTCACTCTGTCACCCAGGCTGGGGTGCAATGGCGTGATCTCTCGGCTCACTGCAACCTCCGCCTCCCGAGTTCAAGCAATTCTCATGCCTCAGCCTTCCTAGTAGTTGGGACTACAGGAGCCCGCCACCACGCCTGGCTAATTTTTGTATTTTTAGTAGAGACGGGGGTTTCACCATGTTGCCTAGGCGGGTCTCGAACTCCTGACCGCAGGCAATCCACCTGCCTCAGCCTTAAAGAAGACCATTTTTAAGGAGCCCTGAGAAGTATAATTTGAGAGTGACTCCTTGGGGAGTCAAGGTCTGTGCCTTGTGATCCTCCTCTTCCAGTCTTTCCTGGGGTTTAGCTGGCTCTCATCCTTCCACCACCTACCATTCTTGGTAAAGCTGAGAACAAGAACCAACTGCTTGAGCTCTCAAGGTCCTGGAGTGAATGAATCAATGCTTCAACAACTACTAAGTCTCTGAATGAGTAGTCCATCTTGGTATTTAGCCTAATCTTTCTTTCTGCTTTTCTTCCTTCCTTCCTTCATTCCTTCCTTCCTTCATTTCTCTCTCTCTCTCTTTCTCTTTCTTTCCTTCTTTCTTTCTTTCTTTTATTTCTTTCTTTTTCTTTCTCTCTCTCTCTCTTTTTTTTTTTGACGCAGTCTTGCTCTGTCGCCCAGGCTGGAGTGCAGTGGCATGATCTCTGCTCACTGCAACCTCCGTCTCCCAGGTTCAAGCAATTATCCTGTCTCAGCTTCCCGAGTAGCTGGGACTACAGGGGCACGCCACCAAGCCTAGCTAATTTTCGTATTTTTAGTAGAGATGGGGTTTCACCATATTGGTCAGACTGGTCTCGAACTCCTGACCTCAGGTGATCCACCCACCTCGGCCTCCCAAAGTGCTGGGATTACAGGCATGAGCCACTGTGCCCAGTCTTTGCCTAGGCCCAGAGAAATGACATCTATAATTGGGTTCTACGTTTGAAAAATTTGGATCAGGTGATTATCTCAGAAACAGTTTCCTCCCTGGCAAGATGGTTTTCCTAATCAGTGCCCACACCCACCATGAACCATTAAAATCATGGTGAAAACCAGGGTCCCCCTACATCAGCCTTTGATCCTGACTGTTCAGCAGGAAGATGTTGCTTGGCTGAAGGAGGAAGGAATTGAGTAAGGTTCCTCTGTTGTTAATTACCTCCAAGCTATCACTGCATCATGCTGCTGCCTTTGAACAGTCTCAGTGGAAGTGAGTGATCTTCCATCACTATGTGCTTCGTCACCTGTACCCCATACGAACCTTCTCCACGTCTGCCATTTCATTAGCAAACGTGCTGTTCCGCAGCCACTAACCACTATCGGCTGACAGTCTGATAGACTTGATAAAGATGACAAGTTGTTGATGCTGTTTGCTCTTCTTTGCGTAATGTTAACATCTTCACCACAGTTCTTGGGCAAATCATCTTTTTTTTTTTTTTTTTTTTTTTTTTTGAGAGAGGGTCTCATTCTATTGCCCAGGCTGGAGTGCCATGGTGCGATCGTGGCTCCCTGCAGCTTCCACCTCCTGGGCTCAAGTGATCAGCCTCTCGAGTAGCTGAGCCTGCAGGCGCATGCTACCATGCCTGACTAATTTTTGTATTTTTTTGTAGAGATGGGGTCTTGCTCTGTTGCCCAGGCTGGTCTCAAAATCCTACCCTCAAGTGATCCTCCCACCATGGCCTCCCTAAGTGCTGAGATTACAGGCATGAGCCCCCACGCCCAGCCACCTTGAACAAATCTTAAGCGCTCTCAGCCTAGAGTTTTCTCCAAGATTAAGCGAAATTATCCACATAAAGCACTTAGCACAAAATAAGTGCTTGGTACTTGTTGATGAGGATGAAATAGAAGATGACTAGTTGGTGAGAAGTGTTTTTTTTTGTTTTTCGTTTTTGTTTTTTTGAGACACAGTTTCGCTCTTGTCACCCAGGCTGGAGTGCAGTGGCACGATCTTGGCTCAATGCAACCTCCGCCTCCCGGGTTCAAGAGATCCTCCTGCCTCAGCCCCCGCAGTAGCTGGGATTACAGGCATGTGCCACCACGCCGGGTAATTTTTTGTATTTTTAGTGGAGACGGGGTTTCGCCATGTTGGGCAGGCTGGTCTCAAACTCCTGACCTCAGGTGATCCGCCTGCTTCAGCCTTCCAGAGTGCTGGGATTATAGGCATGAGCCACTGCACCCGGCCGAGAAGGATTTTTTTAAATAACACTTTTTTTTTCCCCAGCTCCATCATCTGTTTGCTTTGGTCATTGCAACACCCACACTCTTTTAAAGAAGGTCTCCAAGGCTGGAAACTTCTCCCACTCTAATTTGGGTAAAATATGAATATGTTTGTAACACACTGAGGCGTGCCATCTTCCTCATGTCCACCTTCTTCCTCATGTCCACGCATGGACTCCATGGAAATCAGGGGACTCCATCTTCGGGAGATTTGCTTTCCTAGCGCTGGCCGCGCATCCTTAGCACTCTGTGGCTCCCTGACACAAGTGCTGGAATCTCTCGGGCTCAGGATTACTAAATGAGTAGCCAGCTGCGTCATGCAGGGACCCAGCAGGAACCAGATGGCACGTTCAAACAAGGACAAGTCAGGAGGATTTACAAAGGGACGATTCACAAAGCGGTGGAGAGGGGAGGGCAAACCGCAAAGGATAATGCAATTACACGAGCTGGTGAGGCAGAGCTGTTACCCATGCTAGGCCCAGAGAAGAGAGCCAGGGGAGTGAGTGGTTCCTAGATACCTAAGGCAGAGATTCGTGTGCAAAGAGCCGCCTTGAGACGAGTGTGAGTTTGGTTGATAGGTGCAGCCAGTTTGAGACAAATCTACAGGGAGGAGTCAGGAGAATAAATACTCTGACCTCACTTTCTTCCTCCCCTGTGATTTGCCAAACCTCCTTCTTAGCCAAATACCACTGGAAGCCAAAGGGCAAGGGAGCCCATTGAGGCCAGCCTCCTGGGGCAGGGTGGAAAAGAGTGGGAAGTAGATCTGGAGGGGCAAATGGAAGTTATCTGGCACATTAAATAAATAAAAAGTGATATGACCAGTGATACAAACCAAGGATTAGAGTTTGTCCAATTGCTTGCAACTGGGGTCGTTTAAAAAAAGAAATCAGCAGGCGCCGTGGCTCAGCCTGTCATCCCAGCACTGTGGGAGGCCGAGGCGGGCGGATCACAAGGTCAGGAGTTCGAGGCCGGCCTGGCCAACATGGTGAAACCCCATCTCTACTAAAAATACAAAAATTAGCTGGGCGTGGTGGCAGGCACCTGTCATCCCAGCTACTCAGGAGGCTGAGGCAGGAGAATCGCTTGAACCCGGGAGGCGGAGTTTGCAGTGAGCCGAGATTGCGCCATTGCACTCCAGCCTGGGTGACAGAGCAAGACTCCATCTCAAAAAAAGAAAGAACGGAAAAAAATCAATTGATCCCTAACTTAAATGCCTCCAGAAAAACCTTCAGCTTTTGTTTTATGACTGGATTTCCAAAATCTAAGTTACTGTTACTCATGTTCACAGACCAGTCTCTGACATGATTTATCTGTGATTCTGAATATCCTCCTGTGTGAATATTCTGGCATGTGGCAACCGGAAATGGCCCCCTACTGCCCACCCACTGAGGAAGAACCACGTGGTGCCCCACCTGGCTGAATGGGAGCTCTTAGGCAGACACCATTCTGGCCCCACCGAAGAACTCTGGTAACAGGCTTTGTGGGTCCTTCCCTCGCCAGTAGGTTCTCCTATGGGTCCAGGTCGGAGTGGGAGAAGCAGGGAAAGGGGACAGAATTTGCTGGGGGAACCATAGCTGAGCACTGAAGGCAGAAAGCACCTTCCCTATGTAACTTTCCGCATACTGAGAGAAACCTAGAAAATCATCCTTTTTTTTTTGAGACGGAATTTTGTCTTGTCGACCAGGCTGGACTACAGTGGCGCCATCTCTGCTCACTGCAACCTCCGCCTCCCAGGTTCAAGCGATTCTCCTGCCTCAGCCTCCCGAGTAGCTGGGACTACAGGCACACGCCACCACGCCCAGCTAATTTTTGTATTTTTAGTAGAGATGGGGTTTCACCATATTGGCCAGGCGGGTCTCGAACTCCTGACCTCAGGTGATCCACCCACCTCAGCTTCCCAAAGTGCTGGGATTATAGGCATGAGCCACCGCACCCGGCAGGAAATCACCTTTGGATCCTTGTGATGGAAAACACTAGGAAGGAAAGCCCACAGCCTTCTAAAGTCACAGTCACAGGCAGGGCTGGGGCTCAATTTGTCATCCTCCCGGGCTGGACCCCAAGAACAGAAAGAGTGGGTGGTCAGCTACATGGTGTGACTTGAGGGGCTTCAAAAGTCCTGCTGAACCCCAAACTATCTCCCCGACTGCCCTGAGTTTCTGTCTGAAGTTTCCATCATTTGAGTCATTTCTTTGTGCTAAGAATTTGCTTCCAGAAGTTGCCTGCTAAAATGTACACGCTGCCTGGGCGCGGTGGCTCACGCCTGTAATCCCAACACTTTGGGAGGCCACAGTGGGCGGATCACCCTGAGGCCAGGAGTTCAAGACCAGCCTGGCCAACATGGTGAAACCGTGTCTCTACTAAAAATACAAAAATTAGCTGGGTGTGGTGGCGGGCGCCTGTAGTCCCAGCTATTCAGGAGGCTGAGGCAGGAGAATCGCTTGAACCTGGGAGGCAGAGGTTGCAGTGAGCAGAGATCACGCCACTGCACTCCAGCCTGGGCAACAAAGCGAGACTCAGGCTAATAAATAAATAAATAAATAAATAAATAAATAAATAAATAAAATGTACATGCAGCCATAAAAGGATACGGGACTTACTTTTCATTCATTTTGTTTGCTCAACGTCTCACTTCCTTTCTTAGGTTTCAAGAACTCTGCCCCCTCATAAGAATTTGGAGGACACGGAGCCTATCTTCTGCCATAGACACCTCGCCAAGGGGTACAGCATTGCCGTGCCAGTCCTTCTTGTACTCAGGGCAGGGGCACATGACCACGGTCAGGAGCTGGCGATGCAGCAGAATTTGGGGAGCATTTATTTCAGCAGAAGGTGGCAGGGGTGGCTGCAGCCATGCTCCCACAGTTACTGCTCATGGCATGGTTTGGGCTGAGGTCAGGAGTTCGAGACCAGCTGGTCCCAATTGCTACACAGCATCTTCTGTTCCTGCCCATTTTCCAAGCCTGTTCCTCAGCCTTCCCGAGAGTCCAGAGCTTACTAATATTCTCTTACTAAATGCGTAAGCTACTTAAATCAGACAGAACCGTCTTCAGTTGCATGAGACTAAGAACACTGATGGATACCAGAGGTGACGCATTAACTCAAGAGAAGCCGTCAGTGCACCAGCCACAGATAGATGCATTTGTCTAATTAGCTAGTGTTCACATTAGGAAACAGCAGGACCCCAGAGAAGGGTTTTGTTGATGGGGAGAGGAAATCAGGAGAGTCTGGTCTGATGTTGCGTTGGCTGATGGGACTTGCCCGGAAGGCTTCAAGGCAACCTGAGAGACATCCACGACACTAGGCTGGGCGCAGTGCAGGAGGGAACGGTGGGGTCATAGCAAGGGCAAAGCCCAACAGGACCTGCCGCTAACGCTACTGAATGTGGGGCCTGAGATGGCAAAGCCTAACAGGACCTGCCGCTAACGCTACTGAATGTGGGGCCTGAGATGGCCTTGTTCAAACCTCTGTAGAGCATCCAAGGGAAGTTTCTGCTGTGTCAGAGTAAGACCACTGATTTTATCTCTTTGATTTGCCTAAATATTTCTGCTGACAGTTAGTCTGCATGGTAATAGCTATCAGTTTGTGGGATTTCTAGCCTCTCTCCCTCCCCATCCCTCCCCCATTGCGTTTAATTCCTTTATGATTTAGTAAGCAGGGATTAAAAACTTTGAGGACAGTGTAAATTCTAAACTACCAGAGGACGGGGGCTGTGTCCTTGTTATCTTTTCTCTCAGAGAGGAGCACAGACATTGTTCGTTAGTCATTGAACAGAGGGAGAAGGGAAGCTAAGAATCTAGTGAATACAGATACTGAACATCTGCTATGAAGTTGTAAGCAATTTTTTGTGAAGAGTTAGGAGGGTTCACAAGTGAGCAGAATTCATTCCTTTCTGCATTCCTCTTTACTTCCCTTCAGAACGAGGACTGTCTCTGGCAGTCGGCTTACTGACTGGATAAACTCGGGGCCAGTTATTATTCTCTTGGTTTCTCCATGGAAGAGTCATGTCTGTCTGCCAGAGACTCCGGGTATGAAGCCAGGGCACCTGGAGAGGGCCCAGCTAGAGGTCCATTATTTTATTTATTTGTTTATTTTTTGAGACGGGGTCTTGCTCCATCGCCCAGGCTGGGGTGCAGTGGTGTGATCTCGGTTCACTGCAACCTCCGCCTCCTGGGTTCAAGCAATTCTCCTGTCTCAGCCTCCCAAGTAGCTGGGATTACAGGCGCCCGCCACCACACCCGGCTAATTTCTGTATTTTTAGTAGAGACGGGGTTTCACCATGTTCGCCAAGCTGGTCTCGAACTCCTGACCTCAGGTGACCCGCCTCAGCCTCCCAAAGTGCTAGGATCACAGGACCGTTCTGACGGCGGTGGCCAGTCACGCAGCAGGTGAGAGGCCTCATCTTATGATCTTATGTCAGACCCTCCAGCTGTGCTTTGAAATGCTTTGTTGTCGTCGTCCTGCTATGAAATCCTTGTGTCGTCGTCCTGCTATGAAATCCTTGTCCCTGTTGAGTCCCCAGGGCACTGACTCACCATCTCTAGCACCTGCTCTTGGAGTTCTTTTTCCAGTAGGTTGCATTGAATTGCTACCCTCGGCTCCATGGATGTCACCAAGGGGAGGACACTACAAAATAATCCAAGGGAAACCAAGGAACAATAAAAAAAAACACAAGCTGCATTTAATTTAAAAAATATTTATGAGACACGTTGCCTTTTATTTCTGAAAAAGTCACTTAATAAATATTTTACCAAGATAATGAGGATGAATTATAATGATGGAAAAAGAACTTGGGCGGTGGTGGGGGCGGGGGTGGGGTGGGCGATGAGGAATGGAAACATATTAAATTTTAATTGAAACTTCAATTCGTCAGACTTGGCCTCTGCATCACATCTTGAAAGCTGGCAGAGAAAGTGTCCTGTTGTGTGCGGACCGAATTTCGAGTCTTGGCACACAGCCAGGTCAGTAAACGGAGGACCAGTGGCAGCGGCTCTTGATGACCTGAAGCAGAGGCTTCTTAAAAGTGAGGACGATGACAGTGCAGGCCACCAGCAGGGTGAGGCAGCTGGGGAGGATGAGCACGAGGTAGAGCAGGCCCAGGTCCAGCCGCTCCCACTTGCAGTCCCGAGGCACACCTCCGGGCAGCTCCGTCACGCGGATGATCTTGGAGGAGAGGTTGCAGGTGACCATGGCCCAGTCGGCCACCGTCTGCCCATGCTGCAGGGCCCCCCAGCCATCCACCCCACAGCAGTCATATGGATTCTGACTGAGGTAGATGGTCCGCAGACCTCTCGAGAGCTGCTCAGACACAGCCTTCTGGGGAAGGGCTGTGAGCGAGTTTCTACGGAGATCCAGGGTCTCCAGGGCCAGGCTGCCCCCAAACCTTGGGAAGGTGGTCAAGCAATTCCCCGACAGATCTAAGTCCCTGAGATTCCCAAACCCAGAGAAGTCCAACGCCATAAAGCTGGAGTGGAGGCCCATGTTCCTGAGAGACAGGACCTGTAACATGGGGGCAACATCCTGGAGTGGGGCGAGGCTCCCATTCAGAACCCCCCAGTTGCTTGAGAGGTCTAAGTAGGTCAGGGAGGTCCCTTGGAATGGGCAGTCTGGCAATGCCCCCAGGCCACAGCCCTCCAGAGACAGGCTCCTTAAAGATGCCATATTCCTGAAATCCACACAGCTAGGGGGGCCCACCCGGTCCGAGGCAGCTGGCAGGGGACAAAGTGAGATCTGATTGTGGCTCATGTCAAGTGTAGTGATGTTCCTAGCATTGGCGAAGAGGCCAGGGGGGACGCCCAGGAGCTGGTTGGAGCTCAGGTTGAACAAGCGCAGGCTGCCCAGGCAGCTGGCCAGCCCCGGAGCCAGGTGCAGCTCCGACAGCTGGTTGTGGCTCAGGTCCAGCTCGGTGAGCGCTCCGGGGGGCTCGTGCTCCCGAATGTGAAGCGTCATCAGGCAATTCTGGTGGAGGTTCAGGTGGGAGAGGGAAGGCATTTTCCTCAGGAAGCCGTCTGGCAGGTACTGGAACTGGTTCTGGCTCATGTCCAGGAAGCGGAGATCTGCGAGGTCGCTGGAGGAGAATTCTTCCCAGAGGCTGACGGTGGTGATGTTGGTCACGTTGCCGTCCACGAGGAGGAACTGGGCCACCATCTCCCTCGGCGACGAGGTGTTGTACAGGTCCCGGTAGAAGCCCATGTTGTTGTCGCGCAGCAGGAGGGTCCGCAACTTGCTGTACTGGGGCAGCAGCGGGAAGAACAGCAGCTGGTTGTGAGACAGGTCCAGCGTCTCCAGCTCGAAGGCAGCCTCTCCCCCGGTCGCGAGGAACCACTCCAGGACGTTGTAGCTGACGTTGAGGACCCGCAGCCGCGTGAGCCCGAAGTCCACGATGCAGGGGAGGTTGTTGAAGGCCAGGTTGAGGTGCCTCAGCTCAGCCAGGCCGTCGAAAGCGCCGCCCTCGATCTCGAAGATGTAGTTCCTCTGCAGATCCAGCTCCCGGAGACGCTCCAGGCCCTCGAAGACGGAGTCGTCCAGCCGCATGATGGTGTTCCCCGCCAGGGACACGGACCGCAGCGAGGAGAGGTTCTGGAGCATGAGGGCTGCCATGTCCTCCGTCAGGGCGTTTCCTGACAAGTCCAGCCTCCGCAGGCCCGGCAGGGCGTGGAGGGCGGCTGCCGTCTCTTCGTAGTTCTCTGAGAGGCAGTTGTCCCCCAGGACCAGGCTGCGCAGGTGACCTTGCTCCTGGAAGGCGCCGCGGCTGATGCGCTCCAGGTGGCAGCTGTGCAGGCTGAGGCTCTCCAGGAGAGGGTAAGGCTGGAGGGAGTGATTCCACAGGGTCTTGAGAGGGTTGGCATCCAGGGTGAGCATCCGGGCGTGGGGCGGGAGGCTGCTGGGCACCGAAGCGAGGCTCTGCCCTCGGCAGTCAGCGGCTCCACCCACCTGCGGCCAAAACCACACCGGTCAGCAGCGAGGAGGCCCAGAGGCAAGCATTTATGCATAGAAACTTAGTTCACTTATCAGACTGTCCCTGCAACCGCCGGGGATGGCTCTAGAGATGTTCATTTTAAAAATAGGATAGACAAGGCCGGGCACGGTGGTTCATGCCTGTAATCCCAGCACTTTGGGAGGCCGAGGCAGGTGGATCACTTGAGGTCAGGAGTTCAAAACCAGCCTGGCCAACATGGTGAGGTCCTGTCTCTACAGGAAATACAAAAAACTAGCCGGGTGTGGTGGTGGACACCTGTAATCCCAGCTACTCCGGAGGCTGAGGCAGAGAATTGCTTGAACCCAGGAGGCAGAGATTGCAGTGAGCCGAGACTGCACCACTGCACCACTGCACTCCAGCCTGGGCGACAGAGCAAGACTCCATCTCAAAAAAAAAAAAAAAAAAAAAAGGACTTGAGAGCTTTCACCATCCTGAATTGTACAGGGAAGTAAAGTGGGTCTGGAGGGGAGAAGTGAAGAGCCAGTGGCTGTGCCGGGACTGGAGCCCAGGGCTCTGAATGCCCAGTTCAGTGCTTTTCCTAAACAGGGCTCTACTCTGATCATGCAGAATAAGGAGGCGGGAGGGACGAGGCCACCCTGGTCGCACTGCAGAAAGCACACGTGCAGGATACTTTAATTCACCCCACGCTTTGCAAAATTGGCAAAAACAACCATCAGCCATAGGATGTTATTTAGGTGTCTAGGACAAAAATGGTTTTTTTGTTTTTTGTTTTTTTGAGATGAAGTCTTACCCTGTCACCCAGGCTGGAGTGCAATGGTGTGATCTCAGCTCACTGCAATCTCTGCCTCCTGGGTTCGAGCAATTCTCCTGTTTCAGCCTCCCGAGTAGCTGGGATTACAGGCACATGCCACCACGCCCAGCTAACTTTTTTTGTATTTTTAGTAGAGACGGGGTTTCACCATGTTGACCAGGCTGGTCTCGAACTCCTGACTTCAGGTGATCTGCCTGCCTCGGCCTCCCAAAAGTGCTGGGATTACAGGCGTGAGCCACCGTGCCCGGCCAGAAAGAAGTTTTAAGTGATAAGATAGAGGAGCAATGGCATTCGTTTGCACAAGTTTATCAGTAATACAAGGGCAGTGGTTGCCTACAATTGTGGGTTCAATCCCAGAGGGCAAGTGCAGCACGGCAACAGAAGAGGAAAATCCCGAGAGAGAGGTTAGAAGAAGCACAGGTTTGGAGGACAGACTCAATCTGAATCTCGGCTCTACCACCACTAGCAGTGGAATTTCTTGGCCCCTCGGGTTCTTTATCTGATAATTAAAATAAAACCTTCCAATAATTAAACATTGATACTGTATTGACATATGGAAACCTCAACTCTTCTGTCACCTCCGCCTCTCTCTCAGAGAAACACCAGTCACCTTCTGTTCCATGTCTTTCTGGATCTTTCGTAAGATATTACCTACCTTTGTCTAAAAAACAAAAATAAGACCATACTGTGCAAACTGTTCAGTAACCTATTTTTCTCCCCCTGTCAATAAAGTATGACGGACTTATTGCCTTGGCAGTACAAATAAATGTGATCATAATCTTTTTAGGAAGCATATGCATTCATCTCATGAATAGCACAGTGGCTGAGAGCAAGAGTTCCAGGGCCAATGCTTCGTGGCTCTGCTTTTGATCAAATGGGTGACCTTTGGATGGTTACGGAACCGAAAGAGACCTCCATTACCCTGCCTGTAAAACCGAAATTATACTCGTCATTTTCGCATAGCGTTTTTTTTCAGGATCAAGTGTGA
Source organism: Homo sapiens (assembly GCF_000001405.40). NCBI lineage: Eukaryota > Metazoa > Chordata > Mammalia > Primates > Hominidae > Homo > Homo sapiens. The sequence continues at coordinate 196,657,945 of NC_000003.12, read as the reverse complement.
CTGTTGAGGTGAAACACATTTACTGTGCTTAATAAATGTGAGCTATAATTATTAGGATGATCTAATTAATCATCTCCTATTGTTGAGCATTTGGGTTTCTCTAATTTCCAGACGAACGTTAGAAAGGATTTGCCAAGTTCTTTCCACATCCCCCTTCCCTCTTTGGTATTTTGATTGGGATTGCATTATAATTACAAAGTACTCTGGAAGAGAATTTTTATCTTTTTTTTTTTTTTTTGAGACAGAGTCTCACTCTTGTCGTCCAGGCTGGAGTGCAATGGCGCCATCTCTGCTTGCTGCAACCTCTGCCTGCCGGGTTCAAGCGATTCTGCTGCCTTAGCCTCCCACGTAGCTGGGATTACAGACTCACACCACCACACCGGGCTAATTTTGTATTTTTAGTAGAGGCAGAGTTTTGCCATGTTGGCCACCCTGACCTCGGGTGATCCACCTGCCTTGGCCTCCCCAAGTGCTGGGATTACAGGTGTGAGCCACCGCGCCCGGCCAGGTGTGTGTCTTTATGTGAGTGGGTGTTGCGCTCCTCCCTGCGTGTGGACTCACTGGAGAATGTTGTGGTCAGGGGCTTTCTTCACGCTATGGGGTGCTGTTCCACCACAGCTGCTGCAGTCGTGGGTCACACCTCTGCAATTCCCTGTGGCCCCGCTGAAGTGATGTAGAAGGACCATATGGCCATCCCAGAAAAGCTTACCATGTCCACTTTCTTTTTCTTTTTTTTTTTTTTGATACGGAGTCTTGCTCTGTCGCCCAGGCTGGAGTGCAGTGGCGCGATCTCAGCTCACTGCAACCTCGGCCTCCCTGGTTCAAGCGATTCGCCTGCCTCAGCCTCCTGAGTAGCTGAGATCACAGGTGCCCGTCACCATGCCTGGCTAATTTTTGTATTTTTAGTAGAGACGGGCTTTCACCATGTTGGTCAGGCTGGTCTCAAACTCCTGACCTCAGGTGATCTGCCTGCTTCGGCCTCCCAAAGTGCTGAGATTACAGGCGGGAGCCACCGCACCTGGCCAACGTCCACTTTCTAATAAGGTCAAATGGATAATGTGATGAGGGCCAGTGGAGGGCACCCAGACTCTCCAATTCTCAGTCCTCAACTCGGAAGAGCCACAGGAAACCCACTCTTTGGGCTTCCTGGCAGCCAATTCTCTACTCCTGCCCACTGGGCCAGAAAGTGTCAAGCAGAGGGCCTTGCCTGAACTCTGAAAGGCTGTTCATTTATCTCTCCTCTTCCTGTGCCTGGTAACCCCTGAATAACTACTGTGTAGTTAATCCTTTATTGCCTCTGTAAGAGAATGCTGGAGGTCAAACATAGCAGAGATTAATAATAATATGAGTGATAACGGATAAAACGCGTAGCACTGACTACCTACCAGGCACTGTCCTGAGTGCTTTACATGTATTAACCCATTTAATCATCAGTCAACACAGCATGATGTTATTGGTAGATATTATTATTACGTATATATTCTACAGATGGAGAAACTATGACCTAGAGTGACCCCAATGTCACCAGCTAAGGGTGGGGCTGGGTTTAAACCAGGCCAGTCTAGCTTGTAACCTCTATGTCATATTGGAATAGACTCTAGCACAGTGGTTATAGGTTCCTACTAAAAGAGGTTAAAAACCATGACAGCTATGCTTTAAGAATACATACTTGAATGTAAGTGTTAGCCCTGACATCCAATTTGTCTTCCCAACGCCTAGTATATAATATGGCTCAAGAAATGTTTATTAAATATGTGTTTCATTTTTTTTTTCTTTTTTGAGATGGAGTATCACTCTGTCACCCAGGCTGGAGTGCAGTGGCACGATGTCAGCTCACTGCAACCTCTGCCTCCCAGGTTCAAGCAATCTTCCTCAGCCTCCCGAGTAGCTGGGACTACAAGCATGTGCCACCATGCCTGGGTAATTTTTGTATTTTTAGTAGAGACGGGTTTTTACTATGTTGGCCAGGCTGGTCTCGACCTCTTGACCTTGTGATCTGCCCGCCTCGGCCTCCCAAAGTGCTGGGATGACAGGCGTGAGCCATGCACCTGGCCTAAATATGTGTTTCTTGAGCAGACTTTTGATATCATTGTTATATAGATGAAGGGGAAAATTACTGGAAATTTCTCAGTTTGGACCCAAGTCTATTTTCACATCTAGGCTGAAAGCCCTAGAGGAGGCTTGGGTATCCACGCTCCGGGTCTTCTTAGCCTGAGCGTGGTCCGGGCTGCCGCTCTGCAGAGTGGCATGGCAGCAAGTCCTCCCCGCAGCTGTGTAAGCCTTAGCGGTCAACTCGTCCACAAACTCCGAGGCAGGCTTCTCCAGCTCTCAAGCACCTCACCCGGAGATTCTCATACCATCGGTGCAGCTCAGTCATCCAGTTTTTTGTTTTGTTTTGTTTTTTTCTTTTTTTGAGAGAGTCTCACTCTGTCGCCCAGGATGGAGTGCAGGGGTGTGATCTCGGCTCACTGCAACCTCCGTCTCCCGGGTTCAAGCGATTCTCCTCCTTCAGCTTCCCAAGTAGCTGGAATTACAGGCATGCACCACCACGCCCAGCTAATTTTTGTATTTTTAGTAGAGACGGGGTTTCACCATGTTGGCCAGGCTAGTCTCGAACTCCTGACCTCAGGTGATCCGCCGGACTTGGCCTCCCTAAGTACTGGGATGACAGGCGTGAGCCACCGCGCCTGGCTTTTTTTTTTTTTTTTTTAAAGACAAGGTCTGGCCCCATCACCTAGGTTGGAGTGCAGGGGCATGATCTCAGCTCACTGCAACCTCCACTTCCTGGGCTCAAGCCACCCTCACATCTCAGCCTCCCAAGTAGCTGGGACTATAGGTGTGTGCCACCGCACCTGACTGATTCTTGTATTTTGTAGAGATGTGGTTTCATCATGTTGCCCAGGCTAGTCTCCAACTCCTGGGCTCAAGTGATCTGCCTGCCTCGGCCTCCTAAAGTGCTGGGATTACAGGCCTGAGCCACTGCACCCGGCCTGAATCATCCAGATTTTTAACAAGTTGTTCTTGTTCCGGGAGGATGCCCTAGGCTGGTCTCGGATGCCTCCTATCCTCAGCAGGCGTGAGAACGGCGGGGCAGGGACTGCCTGGCTCTTCCCAGGAAGCATCTTAAAATCCTGTGGTTAAAGGGCAGCTGCACATGCCCCTGTGCTAGGCAGGCACAGAGTGATGCAGGCTCCTTCATTCTCTGCCCTTCCTGATGGACAATCTGTCAGCTTTCCAAATGGACCAAGCCTTGTCAGGACAGGAGCAGCCGACAGATCAGGGTTCAAGGGAAACTCACCAACTTGCAGACTCCTTGGGAGGCTGCTGTGGCTGTTCCGCTTCTGTTCCTCCAGCCCACGGTCAGGAAGTGAAAACCCAGGCAGAGCCAAAGAGGCAGCAACTCCATCTCAAGGGCAGCCCTGTGGACAGAGAGCAGGGAAGAGGTAAGTCAGAGAAGGACATCCCAGAGGGCTGTTTGTATTATCGGCAGAAGGAGCCAGTTCCAATTCTATGTGGTCTTGGAGCTCTGTGGAGCTCCATAGAGGTGCAGCCCACAGGATACTCAGATACCTCCATTTAGCCAAGACTTCCGGCCTTTCACTGAAACTGTTGACAAGAACTCAATTTCATTTTGCCTCTACCACTTGATGGACGGGTGGCTGAACACTAAACTTCAGCGAGTCCAGCACAGAAGGGAGAAGCAAAAAGCTTGAGTAACCAGGCCTCCAGTCACCTGGAGTTTCCCATATTTTGTAATTCTGCTGAAGTTTTCCTGCCTCCAGCTCCAATCGGTCTGATGCATCCCCTGAGCTCAGTAAGTACTTGCTGAGTGAATGAATGAACAACTGGAGAGTGGACGGAGACGGAAACACGGATGGGGGCCTCTGTCCCAGAGTTACTCCTCAGCTGCTGATGTGGGGCTGTTACAAAAGCGTTGATCTCTTTGGTTCACTCATTTGACTATGACCCTTTGAAAAAAGAGGTTTGATATTTTGCTTGGACGGGGGAAACACGGAGGGAAAATGAAGAAGCAATCTTTGGGTAGAATAAAGGTGGTTAACGAAACGTGGTTGCCAGCCCGCTTGCCTGGCCAGTGCACAGAGAACAGCAATAATGAGAAGGCTTGAAGGTATACACGCACCAGCAGAGATTCAGAACTAAGGGGAGCCATAAGGGAAATGCAATATACTCATCACATTTGCCAGGTGAACAAAGGCCCAGAGATACTACTCGAGGTTGTGGATGAACTTAGTGGCAGGGCTAAGAGCAGCCCCGCCTCGCTCCCCGAGCTCCGATGAGTGAGCAGGGCAGTTTCTCCCAGCAGCGAGGCTGCACTCACTGCTGCCCTGCTGGGGACCTGACGCCCAGTGCATGCCCCCAGCTCTGCATTCTGCAGACCCAGAGGCAAGAGCTGGCCCCAGCATTCCATCTGCCCATTCCTTGACACCTACCGGAGGCCCAGTGTCTGCCCTCCCATCTTCTCCTGGGCCAGCGGCACCAGCTCACCCCACCTGCTCGCTCCAGCCACTCAGGGGCCTCCTCTTTCCTTTCTTCAAATGCATTTAGGGATCTTGAAAGCTCATTTTACCTTCTTGATCAGATTTGAATGCTCACCAGTGCAAACAGACTAATTGAAGAGCTCAATGAAACCGGGTAAGCCAGCTTTCACTTCAGGCCAGGCCAACTCCCCTTACTACAGAGAGAACCTCCAATGCAGAATTTACCAGAACTTGCCAGACACTGGGAATCCCCTTCCAGACCCATTTCTGCCTCTGCACCCACACAGGAGTCATTGCCTTGTGGCCGGCACAGGGAAGAGAGGGCAGAAGCAGAGGTGTACGGGTTCCTGACCTCAGGATCCCCCCAGCACCCTTCCCCGCCCCTGAAACCTGGGATCACCACCACTGCCCGCCATGAAATAAGGCTGCATAGTTGCAGATTTAGTAAATTACAAGGCATCATTTCAATGCTAGATACATCCTTATACTAACAAATTGTTTATCTGACATTCAAACTTCACTGGGCATCCTGAATTTTACTGAGGGGAGATGGGGAGGTAAGAACCCTCCCTTCCTCCCTGGCCACCTCTTGTCAGGTGTGGGGTGGTACCTGCTGCTGTGACTCCAGTCTCTCTGGAAGAGCCAGCCCTGCGTATCGAAGAACTGAATCTAGACGTGTAAGGGGCAAGAGTGCAGGTCCCTCAGCGAAAAGGCAACCTTCAGACTGGAAGGCAAGCCAGGCCTTGTGTCACACTCAGGAGGGGCATTTTAATTTATGGGTCATCAAGAATTTTGCAAGTTTAAAACATATCCTCTCCTTCCTCCTAAACTCAGCCAACCAGCCCAGAAAAAAACTCTTGTTGTGGCCCTGGCAGGAAGCAGCAGGATATCATGGGAAGATCATGGAATTTGGAACCAAGCAGACCAGAGTTTGAATTCTGCCTCTGTTATTTGTTATTTGTCCTTTAGGAATTCAGACAAAGTCTCCAAGACTCAGAGAATCCGTCTACAAAATGGGAGTAATAATAACTATTCCAGAGTTGCATGAGAATAACCAGTCTCATGAATGTGAAAGGGCTTCATGGCTGTAAAGGTAGCAAGTAACACAATTATTAATTATTACTTGTGAGTTCCAAACACCAGTGAGTTGACTGAGTGCTGGTTATTCCTGTGTAATCTCCAAGGTAGTTCAACAGCTACACAAAGTCTAAAATAAAGGCCTGAGTAATGTGGCTGGAAGGATGAATTATACCAACTAGATATGTAAAACATATGCAGGAAGGTTCAATTAAAAACTCTGCATTCATAAATTGCAGAGCAAGGCTAGCCCTGAGCACAGATGACTATGCTGGCTGACAGCGGTTTGTCCCCAGAGCTGCGCCTTCCCCTTCCCTGCCCTCCTCAGTGTGGCAGGGCTCTGACTTCTGAAGGTTCTGAATCTCAAACTCTGCTGTCACCTGGCCTCAAACTGCTGTCACCTGTCACAAACTCTGCTGGTTTAGTCAATGGAAGACACTCCTCCTGGGAGGTCAGACAGTAGAGGGCAGAAAGAATCCAGCATACTTCTCTCCCTTCCTCTCTGCCTTGGACAGAGACATCCTAGAGTTTCTTCCGCTGACCCCTAGGCTCTGGTGACACCACCTCCTCCTCTTTGTTTTTGTTCGTTTTGTTTTGTTTTTTGAGACGGAGTTTTGCTCTTGTTGCCCAGGTTGGAGTACAATGTTGTGATCTCGCCTCACTGCAAACTCCACCTCCCGGGTTCAACAATTCTCCTGCCTCAGCCTCCCAAGTAGCTGGGATTACAGGTGCACGCCACCACGCCTGGCTAATTTTTGTATTTTTAGTAGAGATGAGGTTCCACCATGTTGGCCAGGCTGGTCTCAATCTCATGACCTCAGGTGATCTGCCCGCCTTGACCTCCCAAAGTGATGGGATTACAGGCGTGAGTCATGGTGCCTGGCCCACCTTCTCCTCTTGTCCTCACCCTACCTAGGTGAGGATAAGAAGCTTCCTGAAGCTGCTCGTCGCTGTGTTGACTGTTTATTTGCTTTCTCAGCCTTTTCCACCATGTGTTGCCACTTTCTTGCATTAAATATCCTCTGTCTTAAATAATCTGGGCAGTTTCCGTTTCCTGGTTGGACCCTGACTAATACAATCATGTGAGAATGGCCAAGACCCAGTGCTAAATTAAAAGTATGTAATGACTGTAAAGAAATAAAAGGCTTTCAAAATAGTGACCATTGAGGTTGAGAAACACTCTTCGTAGAGTGTGTAGCTGCAGAGAGCTTCCTCAGAGCCATGGCACTGCAAAGAGTCCAAGATAAACAATCCTCTTGCCATATCTCTCTGCAAAATCCCGTGACTCATCCCCTGCATGCACAGGACTGCTTCCTCTCCTCCCACATCCTCAGGGCTGAGGACCACGCCACAGCATCTGCAGCTGTAAGAGGGCATCTAAGCCAGAGTGTGCCCAGCATGCAGGAACAGGTGGAAAGCCCAGCCGCTTCCCGAGGGGCTGCCAGCTGGTGAGTGTTCCTGGGACCCTGAGCTGCCTGTTGCTCCTGTCTGGACAAGGTTTGGCCCATTTGGAACACTGCTGCATTCTAACTAGTTATCATGGAATGCTGTGAGTCTACTCCATAGCCAACCTTGTCTATGAAGATGTGGTGTTGCTTTTTAGGCAGAGAAGACAACGTGGTTTTCTGCCTCCAGACCTGGTCATAGTAAGAAAGTGGTAAAAAGATTCATTCATAAAAACAACATGAATGGAGGTTGTATTCTGCAACAAGAGAATGCTGACAGTGAGGAAGAAGAACGTACAGCCGCTGCAAAGAGTCTCCTTTGTTTTAGAAATTATGTTTGTTGCGAACAGGTGCGGTGGCTTACGCCTGTAATCCCAGCACTTTGGGAGGCCAAGGAGTGGGGGGTCACTGGGTCTCAGGAGTTCGAGACCAGCCTGAGCAAGGTGGCAAAACCCTGCCTCTCTAAAAAAAATACAAAAATGGCCGGGCGCAGTGGCTCACTCCTGTAATCCCAGCACTTTGGGAGGCCGAGGCAGGTGGATCACCTGAGGTCAGGAGTTTGAGACCAGCCTGGCCAACCTGGTGAAACCCTGTCTCTACTAAAAATACAAAAATTAGCTGGGCGTGGTGGCGGATGCCTGTAATCCCAGCTACTCGGGAGGCTGAGGCAGGACAATCGAACCTGGGAGGTGGAGGCTGCAGTGAGCAGAGATCTCGCTATTGCACTCCAACCTGGGCAGCAGAGCGAGACTCTGTCTCTAAAAAAAGAAATGCTACAGAGTAGCTCAGATCTGAATTTTGCTATTGTTTTGTTTTTAGAAAAGGATGCTGGATTTCTACTATTCAGGTGCACGCTGGATATCTGAATTGTTATCCCGGCCAGAGTGACGGCCTCTCCTTGTTGGAGCTGCTCGGACACCTTACCGTCCCCACCCCCACCTCCCCTGACTGCTACTACGTGAGCAGCTGCTGCCAGAGCTGGGACCGGACCCTCTCCGCTAAAGGGGCTCTGAGCAAGTGCCATACGTATGTTACCACGTAGTTAAGAATTTTCTCCTCAAAGTAATCAGAGAAGCTGAAAAAGCTTTACGGAAAGAGGTCTCCTGGAGAAAGTGGGCAGCTCTCGGGGCACTCTGTGCTAGAAACAAATATTTTGGCCGGGCGCAGTGGCTCACGCCTGTAATCCCAGCACTTTGGGAGGCCGAGGCGGGTGATCACGAGGTCAGGAGATCGAGACCATCCTGGCTAACACAGTGAAACCCCGTCTCTACTAAAAATACAAAAAATTAGCCGGGCGCGGTGGCGGGCGCCTGTAGTCCCAGCTACTCGGGAGGCTGAGGCAGGAGAATGGCGTGAACCCGGGAGGTGGAGCTTGCAGTGAGCCGAGATCACGCCACTGCACTCCAGCCTGGGCGACAGAGCGAGACTCCGTCTCAAAAAAAAAAGAGAGAAACAAATATTTCTCCCTGGGTCTGGGGGAGGGCTCTCCAGAGGCAGAGTGCGCACAGGTGCAGTGGTAAATGTGTGACAGTGACACTCATGGACACACAAGGGCACACGGTGCCGGATGGAGGCCTCCACAAGAAAGGGAGTCTGCCTTTGACTGCAAGAAAAAGAGCAATTGCACCTGGGATCTGGGAGAATGGGAAGGGCAGCTGGTCACAGACCACTGAGAACAGATGATACAGAACAAAACCAACCCCCAGTCTGTGACCATTTCCAACAGTCCCTTCTCCAGGAAGCACTGGGAAGTCTCAAGCAAGCAGCTCTGGTCCCTCTGATTCTTAGCAAAACATTAGGATGACCTCAACTTTCACCAAATGTCCAAACTCAACACCCCCGTGGTGAGAGCTCCTGCCATTCTGAGCCTCTGAGTGTGATGACTTAGGAAACAGGGTACTGTCCTGGTGGAACGCCTGCCAGAAACACTTGCCCTGAATCCAGTCATGAGGAAAGCCTCTGACAGATCTGGGCTGTAAGACGTCCTGCAAGGTAACTGGCCTGGACTTCTCAAGAGTCAGTCTTGAAAATCAAAGAAAGGCTGGAGTGGGGCTGGGGGTGTCTGTTCTAGATTACAAGTGACTAAGAAGCATTTAACCAAGTGCAGTGAATGAACCTTGAGTGGATGTTGGAATTTTTTTTTTTTTTTTTTTTTTTTGAGATGGAGTTTCACTCTTGTTGCCCAGGCTGGAGTGCAATGGCATAATCTCGGCTCATTGCAACCTCCGCCTCCCGGGTTCAAGTGATTCTCCTGCCTCAGCCTCCTGAGTAGCTGGGATTACAGGCATGCACCAGCATGCCTGGCTAATTTTGTATTTTTAGTAGAGATGGGGTTTTTCCATTTTGGTCAGGCTGGTCTTGAACTCCCGACCTCAGGTGATCCACCCAACTCAGCCTCCCAAAATGCTGGGATTACAGTCGTGAGCCACTGAGCTTGGCCGGATGTTGGATTTTAAAGAATCTCTAACAGAAAAGTATGAGACAATTGGGGAAATTTAAATAGGCACTAAGTGATGAGTTTTCAGATGCACAGATGATATGAGGTCTGCAGGTCGGATAACAAGCCTGTGGTTATGTAAGACATCGCCTCTATTGTTAGGAAATGCATGCTGAAGCACTTACAGGGAACTTTCATGATGTCCGTAATTTATGTAAACTACCTTCAAATGGCTCAATAGAGACAGTAAAGCAAAATATTACTACTCGGTAAATTTAGTATTGTACTTTCTTGTAAACTTTTCTGTAAGTTTTAAAGTACTCACATTTAAAAATGAGGAAAATGAAATAAGTGTTCCTGAAAAGAGATGTTAAATTATGGTAATCTCTGTCCCCATATTTCCAGGAATCATTAACATACCTTTTTCAAACACTCTTCTCAGAAAGGTGCTCAGGAAACATTTGTTATGTTAAAAATGGAAATACAGGCTGGGCACAGTGGCTCACACCTGCAATCCCAGCACTTTGGGAGTCCGAGGTGGGTGGATCACCTGAGATCAGGGGTTCGAGACCAGCCTGGCCAACATAGAGAAACCCCGTCTCTACTAAAAATACAAAAATTAGCCAGGTGGCTGGGCGCAGTGGCTCACGCTTGTAATCCCAGCACTTTGGGAGGCCAAGGCCAGCAGATCACCTGAGGTCAGGAATTTGAGACCAGCCTGACCAACATGGTGAAACCCCGTCTCTACTAAAAATACAAAAATTAGCCGAGCATAGTGGCAGGCACCTGTAATTCCAGCTACTCGGGAGGCTGAGCCAAGAGTGTCATTTGAACCTGGGAGGCAGAGGTTGCAGTGAGCCGAGATCATGCCATTGCACTCCAGCCTGGACAACGAAGTGGGACTCTGTCTCAAAAAATAAGCAAAAAGCAAAGAACCGATTGTGATCTTTGGTAAATTAACACATTCCTATATTTTGAAAAAGTAAATATTCAAATGGTGGATGCATTAACAAGAACTTGAAATTGAGGATTAGAACAACAAACATTTAGAATTGTGATGTGTGAATTCAGAGCTTGTGATTTGCTTCTCTAGCTTTCTCTTAATAATGAATTTGTCAAAATATAGACAATACAATTGTTTTGACTTCTCCCCCCCTAAGAACTGTCTCACACCCTGCAGGTAGAACAGAAAATTGGCACACTTTTTCTGAAGAACAATTTAGCCAATTTATCAAAGACCTTGAAAGTCTGGATTCTTTTTGATTCAATGACTCAAGTTCTAGGAATTTATCCTAAGGAAATACAATGTACATAAAAATATTTTAAAAGAAATATTCATTGTAACATTAGTAAGAATAATAAAAAAGTGGAAACCATCAAAAGTCCAATAATGGAAGCACTGGCTAAATAAGTTATGGTAAAACTACATGATAGGAATGACGTGGTATGATAAAAAAATGCTTTGGTAGCAATATATTGATTGACGCAGAAAGACGTTCATAATAAAATAATATCAAGGAAAGGAAAGTGTAAAGCAGAATGTGTAGTATAATCCCCAAGTTTGCTAAAAGAATATGCAGGCCAGAGAGGTGAAAAGAGAGGCACGCGGCGGCTCGGCGAAGGCAGTGCCATGGTTCCCAGCACTGGTTCAACTCAGATCTCCGGTTCCCACCCGGTTCTCCGGTTCTCTGGTCAGCCTGCGCTGTACCGGGGCTCGTGGCGAGAGACTCTCTGGGAATGGATGAGGCTCTGCCTCCATCGGGGGGGGATTCAGAGGCCCCAGCAACCCTTCTTCCCCTGGGCCCTTCCCACAGCGACTCCAGACAGCCAGTGTGAGGAGCCCGCTTTGAGCACCTCCCTGCTCAGCCCTCACTTCCTTAGGGCCACGAATAAGCCAACTGGCTTCCCTACGTGGTCAGCGTCGGCCTGGTAGAGCCATCAGAGGTCAGCCCACCTCGTCCTGTTCCATGCCCACAGGCTGCCATCTGGCCACAGGTCTTAATAAATGCAAACCTGCTCCCACTGGGAGGTGACACCTCGCCCTTGCATGCTGGTGGTGGCTGGTGGTAGGTCCTCGGTGTCACCTTTCTATAGGAGAGACCCACATAATCTCTGCTGATAGGCGCTCAACCGCATAACGCATTAGCATCTGATTTCCCTTCAGTATCACAAGTTTGTTCCCTCTGGTCACTTCTGAGGGAGTGGCTACCTGCCACCGCCCTTCTCGATAAGAAGGAGCAGGTGGGACCTGTGTAGAGGAAGGGACCCTGGGCTGGGGAAGGAGGCCTGGGCCCAAGCCTGGCTCCTTCACTCTGGTGGTGACCACGGAGGACAGCACTTGCCTTGATGGCCTCACAGGGTTGTGTCGAGACTGAATGGGACAGTGTGTGTGAAAAGGCTTTGTCGATGTAAGGGAATGTTCGGACTTCACGTTTAGTGGGCGGGGGACCCCACCAAGCCTTCCAAGGCCTGCAGGAGGACACGCCCCCACTGGAGGGGGACAGACGCTTTCCATAGTGAGACAAAGAGGTGTATTAATCAAAGGGAAAGCAGAGTTCCTCTGTGCAAACAGCAAGCTGGTGTTGAGGGAAATACAGTGAAGGAGAAGGAGCTTTCGTCCCTTCTCCCACCCCTGGGAGCTGCAGCGTGTGGACCCTGGGATGTCCAGGGGAGAAGCGAGCACCCAGGGTCCACGGTAGACTGTGGGCAGGGGTTTTTTATGGGTGATGACAGCGGCTTAGTGGCCCCAGTGGGAAAACAATGAAAATATATCCCCCCACCCCGACTACTTGGTTTCCTTGAGAAAGTGTACGATTGAAGAACGAAAGCATATGGATTCCTGACAAGAGGCCGATTCAAAGGTCAATTCAGTGGTGTTCGAGGTCTGCATAATCACTCCCAGATTCTGTCCGGGCTCTTCACTGTGACAGCTCATGCTTACTGAGTGCTCACCTTGGAACACGGGCTATACCGGGTACTTTACATATAATTCCCACAAAAATCCTAGCAGGTAAATGTTGTCATCTCCATTTCACACTTGGTCAATGGCGGCTCACATAGGTTTAGGCTGTACAGCTAGAGAATGTTAGAGCCACAATTCAAACCCAGGTCTGTGACTTCTGCATCAGCTCAACCTCAATACCACAAGCCCCAGCCACCCTGGGATGCCTGCGACCCTTGACTAAATCACGCATGCCCACACGCTCTGTCCTCTGTGGGAAAGGCTCTTTTGCTGGTCTTGTTCACCTGCAAAGCTCTTACTCATCCTGCAGGCTCAGTGCTGGTATCACCTCCTCATCACAAGCTAAAAGTTGAGTGGAGCAATAACCCAGTAATTCATATGGCAGTGTATTATAGGTAGCTACATTTCCTATGGAAGTTTTCTAATTTCTTATTATTTGATTTTTATGATCATGACAAGGAATGTGAACAGTTACTAGGTACTGTTAGTCATTTAACTTTTCCCCAACAACATACATCTATCCATCTATCTATCCTTCTGTCCATCTTTCTTTCTCCTTTTTTTTTAGAGGTCTTGCTATGTTGCCCAGGCTGGAGTGCAGTAGTTATTCACAGATGGGATTGTAGCACACTACAGCCTCAAGCTCCCAGCCTCAAGTAGTCCTCCCACCTAGGGCTACCGAGTAGCTGGGGCTACAGGCACACAGCACCACCCATGCCACCTTTCTTTCTTTCTTTTTTTTTTTTTTTTTTTTTTGACAGAGTCTCACTCTGTCGCCAGACTGGAGTGCAATGGTGCGATCTCTGCTCGCTGAGATCTCTGCCTCCGGGGTTCAAGAGATTCTCCTGCCTCAGCCTCCCAAGTAGCTGGGATCACAGGCACCAGATCACTACAGATCACCATCACACCCGGGTAATTTTTGTATTTTTAATAGAGATGGGGTTTCACCATGTTGGCCAGACTGGTCTCAAACTCCCGCCCTGGCCTCCCAAAGTGCTGGGATTACAGGTGTGAGCCACTGCACCCAGCCTGATCGTGCATTTCAAAGTACATTGCAGTCATTGATATACTTTCCTTTAAATATTTCAGAATGCATATCAAGTGATTTAACTTTTTTTTTTTTTTTTGAGACGGGGTCTCACTCTGTTACCCAGGCTAGAGTGCAGCGGCGTGACCTTGGCTCACTGCAACCTCCGCCTCCAGGGTACAAGCAATTCTCCTGCCTCAGCCTCCCAAGTAGCTGTGCCATGCGGTGCCTGATATTCTGAACAGCACCCCTGAGTGTATCATGGGACCATGGCCTTCTGTGGAGACAAAGCAAGACGGGGGCTGTCAGAGGCCTTCAAAATGGCTCTAACCTTCTCTAGCCAGAGAGCCTAGAAGAAAACTGGGGATTTGGAAGGAGATGAGAAGCTGAATGGAAGCATCAGTTTAAGGACCTGAGGAAGGGCCCAATAACCTAGAACAAGAGAACGGCCGAGGCCCATGAGGAGGTCTCAGGGTGTCAGGCTGGCTGGTGACAGGGAGACCGCTAACTTGCTGAAGTTGAAGGAGGTGGTCCAGGGCCAGGCAGGGAAAGCCCTGCTCCCCACTGAGCCTGCAGGGCCAAGGGAAAAGGCTCAGCCTTGGTGTCTGACGACCACAGAGGGGAGACACTGCAGGGCCGAGGGAAAGGGCTCAGCCTTGGTGCCTGAGGACCACAGAGGGGAGACACTGCAAGGGTAGAAGAGACCTCAGGGATCAGGGCTGGAGCAGGAGAGGAGTGAATGACAGTAGGGAGGATCAGCAGGAGTCCATGTCCAGTTGACATCTGAAATGGAGTGACATGAGCTTAGGAGAACACGATGTGTACCCATGGGTGGGCCCCTGCCAGGCACTGTGGGTGTGGGGTTGCCTTAGACACTTAGGTCCTGCTTGAGAACAGACAGGTGAAAAGACGGAGCGTTATGTGCTCTCTCTCCTGGGAGAAATCCCCTCCCGGTCCTTCTCTTTCTTGGAGGTGGCAGCAGAAAGTTGCTTGGTGCACATGGCGCAGCACCTGCCTTAGGCAACCTTTTGGGTTGGGGCTGGAGGAGGGGAGTCCCTGTGACCTCACCAGGCTTTGTGGCCACATTGAGCCTATCCAGTACCAGCCTGCTCCTCGCGCCCACCTCGTGGGTGAGGACCATGACGAGGTTCCACTTCCTCCTTTCTTCACTCTGTTCACTCTGAAATCCCTCAGGCATTAAAGTGAGAAAAGACACATTGGCTTGGGGTCAGCACCTGACTCCGTTCGCTCTGGAAATTGGTTGGTTTCGCCTACTCACTCACATTCGTTTCTCCTTCTGGTAACAACCCCTCAATTCCCCTTTGAGAAAATCACCCCCTTTCTTTCCTTTTTTTCTTTAGAAAATGTTTAATTGTAGTAAAATACACAAAACATGAAAGCGATTATCTTTTTTTTTTTTTTTTTGAGACAGAATTTTGCTCTTGTGGCTCAGGCTGGAGTGCAATGGCACAATCATCTCGGCTCACTGCAACCTCCGCCTCCAAGGTTCAAGCGACTCTCCTGCCTCAGCCTCCTGAGTAGCTGGGATTACAGGGACTCACCACCACACCCAGCTAATTTTTGTATTTTTAGTAGTGACGGGGTTTCACCATTTTGGCCAGGCTGGTCTCAAACTCCTGACCTCCTGATCCACCCGCCTCGGCCTCCCAAAGTGCTGGGATTACAGGGATGAGCCACCGCGCCCGGCCGAAAGTGACCATCTTAACCATTTTTAGGTGTACAATTCAGTAGTGTTAAGTACCCTTACGCGGCTGTGCAACCAACCCCCTTCCTTTCTTCAAAAGTCTGTGTGTTCGGGTCTGATCCCAGCTCCTGGTTCCAGGGCGGGGCCTATGAGTAAGGCTGGGCCCGTGAGAGCACTCCATTTTCCTAACAGGCTCATCATAAAAGCCAAGCCCATGAGAATCAATCCACGGGCAGTTGCTAGAACTCATGGAAAGGAGACTTGCTCTTTCTGTTTCAGATGCCAAACCAGTAGGAATATAGTTGGAGCTGCAGGCAGCCATCTTTGCCACCAGCTCCGGGACTTGCCTGGTAAAGAGGCCCACAGAGAGGAAGGCAAAGCTGAGGAAAGGAGACAGATGGATTCCTGGCAATGCCATTTGAGCATCTGGACTCAGCCATGCCTGAAACTATTGCCCATACACTTTTCAGTTATTTGAAACAATAAATCCTTTTTTTTTTTCTTTTTTGCCGAAGCATATTTACGTTGGTTTTTTGTCATTTGCTACCAAACCAATCTATCTAAGAATCTGATTCTTGAACTCGGGTTTATTGTTGCACGTGAGGCTTATAAGAGCTAAGATCCAAGCACTGATGTCCTTTTTCCTTCACGTCTCTGAGCTTTCAGAAATCATCACCTAACCTAGCCCTGAGCCCCATCACAGAATGACCACATGACATTTGCTTCATGATGAAGTTGAGAAAAATGGTTTGGGAGGAAAGTGAGTATAATAAAGAAGTTCCACCAAAGGCAAAAACATGACAAATGTTTGTCACTGATGTGCGATGACACATCAACAAGCATCAGTGAGCACAGACATCTGTAAGTGTGTCATACACACAGCATGTCCTAAGAAAGACAGTGTTTTCAGTCGTGGTTGAAAGTCCACCCTCTCCTGACTTCTGAGGCTCTAAAATGGATCTGCGCCTGATGTGAGGGACAGTCATTGTCCATACGAGAGTCTGGTGCACACTGTGCAGTGTGGACGCACACCGCAGCCAGAATGCAGGTTGTCATCAGTACTAGCATCTCTCTTCCAAAAGAGTCAAGACTGGAGACAGACAGGTCAATGTACTCTTAATGCACACCCCAGAACAAAGATACTAGGCGTCTGCTCTCTGTTTTGGAGTCTACCAGGTATGTCTCATCATCAAAGAGCAGGAACTCTTGGATGATGAATTTAAAAACTATAAGAGAATGTGTTTTCATGAAGTTCCCATGAGGGCACTCATTACATGAAAGCTGGGGGCGGTGACTCACGCCCACACTCCCAGCACTTTGGGAGGCCAAGGCAGGAGGATTGCTTGAGCCCAGGAGTTTGAGACCAGCCTGGGCAACACAGCAAGATCCTGTGTCTACAAAAAAATTTTAAAAATTAGCTGGCATGGTGGTGTGCACCTGTTGTCCTAGCTCCTCAGGTGACTGAAGCAGGAGCATTATTTGAGCCCAAGAGTTTGAGGCTGCAGTGATCTGTGATCGTGCCACAGAACTCCAGTCTGGGCAACAGAGCAAGAGCCTGTCTCTAAAAATAAATAAATAAATATATATATTTTTAAAAAGTGCCTTCTTTGTGAAGCTGAGTTTGTTTTGTTTTGTTTTGTTTTGTTTTGTTTTTTTAACCTAAAGGCAGGAGTTAAGGTTTTTTCCTGGGCCCATGATTCTATAATCTCCTTTAGGGACTCTCGGGCACACACACACAAACCTAAGAGGTGTGTGAGGAGAATAAATACGTATTGTAAATGTAAAGCCCAGCAAACCCTCAGCATCCACAGAACAGTCTGTGTGTCACAGCCGGCAGGTGAGGAGCACACAGGAAAGCATGGAGGGCCACAGACGCTGAATGTTTCTAGCACCCAGACTCCTAACGGGCTGTGCCCATCATGAAGAAGCCTCCGGTGGGGTCCCCTCAGCCCCTAGGGAAGCACAGCAGCCCCGACCAGCCCTGTCCGGAGAGGCTCCATTCCTAGGACCCCCGATCCGGCCTCCTCCAGTCGCAGCCACCAACTGGCACGTGTCCACCTTCTCTCAGAGGCAGCACAAAGCCACACCAGTGGCTCCTTACTTCTTTCCGTCTAGCTCCTGGGTACGTGGGGAAGTACGCTGACCCCTTCAGAAGCCGGCCCACATGCAGGGGCCACGAGGGCTACGGAAGAGCGTCCGAGTCTTCGTCGCCCTCCTGTTAGTCTCCCTCTGATAAGCCATGGATCTAAGTCTAGGCTAAGATCCAAGTCACAGAGCCCCAGTGAATCTCCCAAGGACAAACGTTCTGTGGGAGAAGGGGCTTTGCACATTTTCACAGCTGTATCCCCAGGGCCTTGGACAGGCCTGGCACGTGGACGGCATCTGTGATAGGTGTTGCTGTTAACCAGTCTTAGTGTCTTCATCTATGAGATAGTGGTTCTCAATCCACGTTGTGGGACAGGAAAGGAGAGCCCAGTGCTCAGCATGCTGAGTGTGCACAGAGCGGTCTCATCATATCCAGTCGCCCAGCCCAGGGAGGGAGCATCTCTGTTCCCATTTTGCAGATGAGAAAACTGAGGCTCAGAAACCTTAACTGTCTGCTCACATGCTCCCTGCAGAGCCAGGACTCAAACCCACGTCTGAATCTGAAGCCCTCGTGGTTTCCACTACGTCGCACCACCTTTCTCAGCTCTAAGTGCTCCTGGAGGGAGGTATTTCCACCTCCACCCAGAGCTGCAGCCCCCACGCCCAGCACAAAAGCGGCGGCGCTTGGACGCAGCAAGCCACAGCTTCCTCGTGAGCCCTGAGCTGCGGGCCGCGGACGCTGACCTCCTACCACCCAACCTCGCTCGAGCTCGCCCACCTGGAGAAGGGCCCCGGCTGTGCCCCGGGGACGCCCCCACGCGGGAAATACTCACGGCTCCCGCAGGCGCAGGCGGCTGCGCGGGGCGCATCGTCTCCGGGGGCTCCGGCCTCCTCGAGAGCAGCCGAACGCGGGGCTGGGCTACCTCCTTGCTGTGGGGCATCAGATTATTTTAGCACCAGCGGAAGGAACGGACGGAAACTGAAGTCACATGGAGAGCGGGCTGCTCGGCGACTCAGCACAGGCTCACTCAGACCCGGCCTCTTAGAGGGAAGCGCGGCGCGGGCGCGGGGGTGGGGCGGGCCGGGGGAGCGGGGCCCGAACACCTGCCGGCCTAGCGGCCGAGCAGCGGGGATGTTTAGACGATCTTCCAGCAATGCGACCGAGGCTCCCCCGGCTTTCTTGCGTTGGTGCCTTGGCAGGGCTGGGGGCGGCCAGCTAGGGGCCCCTTGCCTATGAGGTCTGCTGACCCAGAAACTTTGCTACGAGCTTCCAGCCAAGGACCAAGCTGAGGCCGACTTTGGGAACGGCAGCACCGTGGTAAAGAGGCACAGCCTGTCGTCTGGCAGGGTCAGCCGCTCAGCCAGTCTGTCTTCTTATCCACTCAGCCGGTCCTTGTGGATCATCTCCTTTACGGACCCTGTGTTAGAAAGAAGGGGAATTGCTTTGTCGAGGACTGTCAGAGAGTGCCAAGAGCTTCTTGATCTTAGACTGCGCGGATGGGTTTTTTTGTACCTGATGTGTACAAAGTTCCCTGCCAGCTCTTGCCAAGAATTCAAAGGAGTAAGAATAATTGATCATATAGCCATCATTGAAGCAGCGCCAGACACTGTGCTAAGAGCTTCATATGCATTACCCCAGCGCTCCTGTTCTCGAGGAACTACTGTCGTCTAGAGAAGGTGAAATATTTACAGTGCCTGCTGCGTGTGGAGTGACGTGGACCACCATAGTCGGGGGCTCAGACAAGGGGCCTCCAGTTCTGATCTCTCTCACTCCCCTTCAAATCTGAAACGTTGAACTGTCCTGCAGGATTGGGTCACCTCTCTTATAGCCTGTGATTTGGGATTGTGTGTAGCATTGTCCATCCTAAGAGAACAGGAGCCAAGTCCTTTTCACTCCAAACATCTGGCACATTGTCTCTGCTTTCTACAATATTCACTCATGGCCGGGCACAGAGGCTCAGGCTTGTAATCCTAGCATTTTGGCAGACCAAGGCAGGTGGACCGCCTGAGTGCAAGACCAGCCTGGGCAACATACTGAGACTCCATATGTACAAAAAATTTAAAACTTAGCCAGACCTGGTGGCACGCACCTGTAGTCCCAGCTATTTGGGAGGCTGAGGTGGGAGGATCACCTGAGCACAGGGAGGTTGAGGCTGCAGTGAGCCAAGATCACGCCATTGCACTTCAGCCTGTGTGATAGAGTGTGACTCCGTCTTTAAAAAAATAAAAATAATTTTAAAAATAAAATATTATCTCATAATGGTAATAACAATCACACCAATGAAAAAGCTAAATAAAGATCAAATTGTTGCAAACCCAGGTGCTTGATTCAGGCCTCTTTCTCTCTTGTATGCACATTCTCTACTTCATGTCTTTTGTGTCTACCAATCAGTTGGTAACTCCCCAATTTTAATTTCTAGCTCCAACATTCTCTTCCACGAGAGAAGATCCAGACTTGCATTTTTAACTGTCTACTGGTCAATCAACTGCTACATGTCCCAGAGTCACCATAACATGATGTATCCCAAACTCAACTCTCTCTCTTTTTTTTTGAGACAGTCTTGCTCTGTCACCCAGGCTGGAGCAGTGGCGCAATCTCAGCTCACTGCAACCTCTGCCTCCCAGGTTCAAGTGATTCTCCTGCCTCAACCTCCCAAGTAGCTGGAATTACAGGCGCCCACCACCACGCCCAGCTAATTTTTGTGTTTTTAGTAGAGATGGGATTTCACCATGTTGGCCAGGGTGGTCTCAAACTCCTGACCTCAGGTGATCCGCCCACCTCAGTCTCAGAGTCCTGGGATTACAGGCATGAGCCACTGTGCCTGGCCCCAAACTCAACTCTTATCCTTTGTCCCAGCAGTTTCTCTCCTGTATGGCTGTCACACTTTACGGTATGTTTCAGCCCAGGCAGTCCAGCCCTCACAGACTTCATCCTTCATATCTAATTGACCCCCAATTCCTGCTGATTCTAACTCAGAAATGTTTCTGGAATCCAACCTGCTTTTCATCCTTAGGCTGTTGCCCTGGGTCTAGACCTCATCAGCTCATGTCTGGACCACTTTCATAGCCTCCTGAAACTCGCTCCCTGCCCCTAATCTCATCCCTGTCCAATGTCAACTCCACCTAGCTGCCACGGGCATCTTTCTAAAATGTGTATTGGGTCATCTCACTCTCTGCTTAAAGCCCTTTTACAGGGTTCAGCAGGTTCAAGGGTTCCTCATGAATGCCTAAAGACTGGCAGGTGGGATCCAGGTACCCCATTCCCTCCACATCCCAAGAATTCTACTTTGATATGTTTTATACATTGGGAGATTCTCTATAGAATTTCTTTTGAGAAAGGCAGCTGCTACCCCTAAAAAAAAAATCTAGTAAACCAATGGTCTTTTTTTTTTCTTTTTAATTCTTTTTCTTTCTTTTTTTTTTTTTTTTTTTTTTTTTTTGAGACAGGGTCTCACTCTGTTGCCCAGGCTGGAGTTCAGTGACGCAATCAAGGCTCACTGCAGCCTCGACCTTTGGGATCAGGTGATCCTCCTACCTCAGCCTCCTCAGTAGCTGGGACCACAGGCACACACCACCATGTCTTTTGTATTTTTGGTAGAGACAGGGGTCTCACCATGTTGTCCAGGCTGATCTCAAACTCCTGGGCTCAAGCAATCTGCCTACCTTGGCCTCCCAAAGTGCTGGAATTACAGGTGTGAGCCACTGCACCCGGCCCCAGTGCTCTTGATGGATGTGTAGAGACAAGCCAGTTGGTTGGCAACACCAGCAGCCCTCCCCTAGGCTAGCAGCACGCTGCCTCAGTGGGTGGAAGCCTGGACGTCCAGCTGAAACCAATGCAGATTTCAGCTGAAAGGAGAACGTGCCAGCACGGCTGGAAGCCCGACTGCACAGCTCAGCATCCTCCAACTTGGTTGGGCTCCCCCCTCACTATGCTTTTCGAGGCAGAGGAGACCAGGGTGCTTCCTCTCAGATGCAACCCTGGTGCATCCAGGCCTGGTTGCCCTGACCAAGCTCACCCCTCCACAGGATCATGAGAATTTCTGGGGGGCCATGTGCCTCTTGCTTTGAGCCTGCTCCACCTATTGGGGTGTTTGCTGTATTCCACTCAACAGGAATAAAGCAAGTCTAGTGTCAAGCAGCGCAGCAGCGTCTCTGATCCGAAGTGAAAGCAAGAACCCAGGCGGCTCCCGGCTGGAGGAGAAAGTCCATTCGGCCTGAGCTGCCTCCAGCCTCTCTTCACGACTACCGCCCATGCTTCATGATCACTGCACACATGGCCTGCAGGTGGGTTCACCCAGCCCGGGCTGATCACGATTTTCCCAAACACAGAACAAACGCTCCCCACTCTCTACTCTCTCTGGCAGAGGGTTCCCTTGTTTGGAATGGCCTCTTCTGCCTACCCCAACCCTCCCCATCCCAAAGGCATGGCTTGGACTCCCCTCCTCCATGAAGCCTTCCCCACTGCAATTGCCACCTTGTCCTGTGAACACATGGTGCCAGCGTTCCCATAATCCACCGACCTCATGACATCTCTTGTGTTGTGATTTAATTTTTTGGACTTCTGCCTTTTTTCCACAACTACACTACAGACTTTTTTTTTCTTTTGAGACAGAGTTTCACTCCCGTTGCCCAGGCTGGAGTGCAATGGTGCCATCTCGGCTCACTGCAACCTCCGCCTCCTGGGTTCAAGCAATTCTCCTGCCTCAGCCTCCCAAGTAGCTGAGATTACAGGCGCCCGCCACCACTTCCAGCTAATTTTTTGTATTTTTAGTAGAGACGGGGTTTCACCATGTTGGCCAGGCTGGTCTTGAACTCCTGACCTCAGGTGATCCGCCCGCTTCAGCCTCCCAAAGTGCTGGGATTACAGGCGTGAGCCACCATGCCTGGCCCACTACAAACTTTTGGAGGCAGGGTCATGTGTTATTCCAAAAAATATACTATCTTATGCACATAAAGGGGCTTGGTGACTATTTGCTCAAAGAAAGGAGGAGGAGGCCGGGCGCAGTGGCTCACGCCTGTCATCCCAGCACTTTGGGAGGCCAAGGTGGGTGGATCACCTGAGGTCAGGCATTCAAGACCATCCTGGCCAACATAGTGAAACCCCATCTCTACTAAAAATACAAAAAATTAGCTGGGCGTGGTGGTGCATTCCTGTAGTCCCAACTACTCAGGAGGTTGAGGCAGGAGAATTGCTGGAACCCGGGAGGTGGCAGTTGCAGTGAGCTGAGATCGTGCCATTACACTCCAGCCTGGGCAATAAGAGCGAAACTCCATCTCCACAAAAAAGAAAGAAGGAGGAAAGAAACGAAGAGAGGGAAGGAAGGAATGATGGCGGTCAACCCACTTTGTATAATTCTCTAGCTGTTGCCCTCTGAGGGTGTGGGGATCTCTTTTCTTTCTTAAACTAAGCTTCATAAGAGTTTGTCACTTGTGGGACTTCTCAGCCTCCCAAGGAGATCAAAGGGAGCCTTGGCTTCTGCCCTCCACCCCGACCCCTGACTGCTTTTCCAGATGGCAACCTATTCAAGACCAGGGGAGGGGGCTACAGCTGGCCTGTGAGAGGGGACACAACTCGGTGTGCAAGGGAGCCATGGGAGGAGCCAGGGCTGCTCCCCACTCCAGACAGGTCTGTGAGAGAGGAGCACAGGGATTGCACCTAGCAGTGGAGCCATGGGGACCTGGAACTGGCGGCTCACCCCGGGCAAAATCATGGTCCTCTTGCTCCTGCCTCTGGGGTTCTCCGCTGTGCTGTGGGCTCTCAGCCGCTGGCCACAGACAGGCCCTTCACCTTGGTGGCGGAGCAGTGAGCTAGATAGAGCCTCCCCAACTTCTCCCAGCCCCCACTTCTCCAGCCCCCACTTCTCCAGCCTCCACTTCTCTAGCCCCCACTTCTCCAGACCCCACTTCTCCCAGCCCCCACTTCTCTAGCCCCCACTTCTCCCAGTCCCCACTTCTCCCAGCCCCCACTTCTCTAGCCCCCACTTCTCCCAGTCCCCACTTCTCCAGCCTCCACTTCTTCAGCCCCCACTTCTCCAGACCCCAGTTCTCCAGCCCCCACTTCTCCCAGCCCCCCCTTTCCAGCCCCCAGTTCTCCAGCCCCCAGTTCTCCTAGCCCCGACTTCTCCAGCCTCCACTTCTCCTAGCCCCCACTTCTCCAGTTCTCCAGCCCCCACTTCTCCAGCCTCAGCACATGGCAGGGAGGGGATTTCCTTTGGGGCCTTAACTGGGAATTGTTCTCTTGCCCCACGTCAGCTGGCTGCTGGGGGAGAGTGTTCAGTAGTTTCATTTCCCTCATTTGGAACGGAGTTTTTAAGAACCAAGAATTAAAACCGGAAAGAGGAGAGCCCACCGCCCACATTGGTACCACTCAACGCCTCATGATGCCCATCCTGGAAAAGCGGAGGGGTCAATGCAGAGGCTGAAGGCAGTGCGGGGGTGGGGTGGGGCTGGGGGCTCTTCCCCGCGTGTTTCTCCTCCTGGAGGAGGTGGCGGTCTCCAATCCTGAGATCAGCTCCTCTAGCTCCCTGCTGCCCATGGCCTCCCGCAGCCACTGACTCCGGTGACTGACCTCTGTGGGGACACTGCCTCTTCCTGTCCTGAAACACCGACAGTATCAACATATGATCAAAGAGTCCAGGTGGTGCAAAGATAACATGGAAGTGTCCTATCAGTGCCAGGGCGTGGAGTGGGACAGCGAGGGGAAGGGGCACCCATAACTAACCATGGTCTGGTCCAGGGCCGAAAGGACCTTGGGGAAAATGGGCACGCGGTGCTGGGAGAGTCCTGGGAGCGGGAGAGCACGAAGGGCACAGCCGCTGGGACAGTGCAGCCCAAACTTTCTGGAAGTGTGAACTGGACCCTCCTGGGGTGGGACCTGGCATGGGGTAGGACACTAGGGATCCAACAAGGAAAATAAGGCCATGCCAAGGAGGAGGCTGCAAGGGGATGGCTTTGTGGCTGACTCTGTCCAGCGTTTCCCATGGGGCGTCCCAGCTCATCTTTGCAGTTTTGCCTTCCCCCTGGACAGTGAGTCCTGCCAGGCAGGGTCTCTGGCTTGTTCACATTTGTATATATCCCCAAGAATACTTGGTCTAGCACCTTGTAGGGGCTCAGCACAGGCTAAAGTGTCATTTGCTCTAGAGCTGTTGGAGAGGTTGAGGACTTAGTCATTTGTGGTCATTGATAAGTCCTCTTTCTTTTCTTTCTTTGCTTTTTTCTTTTCTTCTTCTTCTTCTTCTTCTTTTTTTTTTTGACGGAGTTTCGCTCTTGTTGCCCAGGCTGGAGTACAGTGGCACGATCTCGGCTCACGGCAACCTCCGCCTCCTGGGTTCAAGCGATTCTCCTGCCTCAGCCTCCCAAGTATCTGGGATTGCAGGCATGTACCACCACGCCTGGCTAATTTTTGTATTTTTAGTAGAGACAAAGTTTCACCATGTTGTCCAGGGTGGTCCCGAACTCCTGACCTTAGGCGATCCGCCGGCCTCAGCCTCCCAAAGTGCTGGGATTACAGGTGTGAGCCACCGCGCCCGGCCGAGAAGTCCTTTCTCATAATTGGTGAATATAAATCCCGGAGTCCTCACCACAGGCTCCGGGCCCTGCATGATCCGGGCCCCGCTGGATTCGGCCCCTTCTCTGCTCCCTCTGACTTCACGCCCTATCACTCTGCTCCTCACTTCCTCTGCAAAAAGCCTAGCACCCTCCGGCAGCTCCTCCTTGGAGCCGGCTCTGGCTCCAAACAAAAGATACCCAAACAAAGGCAAGAAAGTGGTGAATTCCTAGAACCGGGAGGGCGCGGGCTCGGGGGCCAGCTGCAGGTTCCTGAGACGTGGGAGAGGAGGAGGAGTGAACACAGACCGCAGGCCAGTGAGTGGAGCAAGGTGCAAACTGCCAGAGAGCGGAGGCCCGGCCCGAAGACCCCAGACTCGCCTCCCGCCCACCCGCCCCCACGTGAAAAGGCACCAGATCCTAAGCGCTAACAGCGAAGGGCGGGACCGGCAGAGGGCTCCCTGCGGCGCCTCTCGAGGCGCGAGCGACCGGAAGGAAAGGCGGGAGGCTCAGCAGCGCGGCGGTGGGAGGAGCGCGCCCTTGCTGATTTCATGGAGGCCCGGGGCCGCGGGCGCTGTTCTCCTTCCTGTGCCGAGTGTGGTTTGCTATCAAGCGGTGGCAGTTCAGCCACAATCAGGGGCAGGGGGAGGGAGAGGCCCCCCGAAGAGGCAGAGGCCCTGCCTCGGCCGCCCTGAGCCTGGAAGGTGATTGGCTAGAGCGACTCCCGGCCGGGAGCGGAATGAATGGCGGGGACCGGGGCCTCTGGGTGGTGCGAGGTATGTTGGGAGGTGCGGGTTTTAATCGGCAGTTGGGCAGTTTAGCCACACGGGCCGGGGGCAGGGTGGGGCTGGCAGAGAAGGGAAGCTGGTGAGGCGGAAACAGGGAGGAGTAGGTTTTTCTTTCTTCTCACACCGGCAAACCAGAGGAAGCTTAACCTATCGGAACCAATTACTAGCATGAACCTAGCACTGAGCTCAAAGGCTGAATTTTAGACCTTTCACTGCTCCCATGCACACCCTGCCTGGTCACGGCTTCTCACCGTCTTTACCAAGATCAGTCACACCTGTGAAGCCCTGCTCATTCATCTCGCCAATTCCCTTCTACAGGACCCAGTGCCCAGACGCCACTACCCAATTCCCCCAGCCTTGGAATCTCCTCCTCTCTGCCAGGTCCTCACCACTGTGTTCTTGGCGATTTCACTAAAGATTCACCTCCTCAAAACTGGCCCCAATTAGTCCCACCCTGTTCAACCTACTATCTCCACTTAACGGCAAATGGCACCTGACACCCTCAGAAGTCAGACTCCTGGCAACTACAATTACCCAAAATACGGCAGAAAACTGTCTCGAAGCCCAGGCAACTGATTCTTGGGAGAAGCTGACTCATGCTTGGCCTCTACCTAGAGAAATAATTCATATTTAGAGCTGTGAGAATAGATAGCAAAGAGAGAGTAAGAAAAAAGATGCATAAATATGTACTAACACGTTTTTATAATTGCTTTTGTGTTCTTCCTGACAGCATCATGTTGCCTTTTAATATGGAGCATGTGCCATAGCTCTCCAGGAGAACCCCTCTGTGTCACAGCGAACCTCAGTCACTGACACTCAAAAGAAGGAATTATTTCAACTCAATAATAAACAAATAACCCTATTTTAAAATCAGCAAAGGGTGTTACCACATTTCCACAGAAGGTATACAAATGGCCAGTAATCATGTGAAAAGATGCTTGATATCATTTGTCATCAGGGAAATGCAAATCAAAACTGCAATGAGAGGCCAGGCGCTGTGGCTCACACCTGTAATCCCAGCGCTTTGGGAGGCTGAGGCAGGTGGATCGCTTGAGCCCAGGAGTTCAAACCCAGCCTGACCAACATGGTGAAACCCCGTCTCTACAAAAAAATACAAAAATTAGCCGGGCACAGTGGCCTGTGCCTGTAATCCCAGCTACTCAGGAGGCTGAGGCAGGAGACTCACTTGAACCCAGGAGGCAGAGGTTGCAGTGAGCCGAGATTGTGCCATTGCACTCCAGCCTGGGTGACGGGAGTGAAACCCTGTCTAAAAAAACCCCAAAAACAAAAACTACAATGACATATCACTTTATATGCACTAGGATGCCTAGCATCAAAAGGTCAAATAAAACAAGTATGTGGAGAAACTGCGACCCTCATACACTGCTGGTGGGAATGTAAGATGGTGCAGAAACTTTGGAAAGGAGTCTGGCAGCTCCTCAAAAGGTAAAAGCATGGAGTTATCAGGTGGCTCACAAATTCCATTCCTAGGGACCTAAAAGAAATGAAGACATGCTATACAAACACCTGAAGACATGCTATACTAACACCTGAAGCCATGCTATACTAACACCCGAACATGAATGTTCAGAACAGCATCATTCATGATTACCAAGAAGTGGAAAAAACCCAAATGTCCATCAACTAACTGACGAGTGGATACAGTATATCCATGCAGTGGAATTTCTTTTTCTCTTTCTTTCTTTCTTTTCTTTCTCTTTCTTTCTTTCTTTTTCTTTCCTTCTTTCTTTCTTTCTTCTTTCTTCTTTTTTTTTTTTTTGATGGGATCTCTTTCTGTCACCCAGGCTGGAGTTCAGTGATGCTATCTCAGCTCACTGCAACCTCCTCCTGGGCTCAAGCGATCCTCCCACCTCAGCCTCCCCAGTAGCTGGGACCACAGGTGCCTGCCACCACACCCGACTAATTTTTTGTATTTTTGGTAGAGATGGGGTTTCTGCCCAGGCTGGTCTTGAACTTCTGAGCTCAAGCGATCCACCCGCCTCAGCCTCCCAAAGTGCTGGGAATACTGGCTTGAGCCACTGCGCCCAGCTATGCAGTGGAACATTTCTCAGCCATAGAAGAGAATAAAGTACTGATACATGCTACAACAGGGACAAACTTTGAAAACATTATGCTAAGTGAAAAAAGTCAGTCACAAATGATCACATGTTACATGATTTCATTTACATGAATTGTTCAGAGAAGGCAAATCTGTAGAGAGAGAAAGATTAGTGGTTACCTAGGTCTGGGGGTTTGGGGGAAAATGGGAGTGACTGGTAATGGGTATGGGGTTTCCTTTTGAGGTTATGAAAATGTTCTAAAATTGTGGTGATGGTTTCATGAGTATGTGAACATGCTAAAAGCAATTGCCTTGTACACATTAAATGCGTAAATTATATGGTAGATGAGTTATAGCTCAATAAAGCTGTTCTATAAAAATAAACCACTGGGCACTGTGGCTCACGCCTGTAATCCCAGCACTTTGGGAGGCCGAGGCAGGCAGATCACCTGAGGTCAGGAGTTCGAGACCAGCCTGACCAACATGGTGAAACCCTGTTTCTACTAAAAATACAAAATTAGTTGGGTGTGGTGGTGCATGCTTGTAATCCCAGCTACTCAGGAGGCTGAGACAGGAGAATCACTTGAACCTGGGAGGTGGAGGTTGCAAATGAGCCGAGATCACGCCAGAAAAAAAGAATAGGTTAACATAGACTCAGTATACAAGAAAGGGAAGTGTGGCGGCTCACATCTGTAATCCCCGTGAAGTGGGATTTGTTTAACATTTTTTGAAAATCAGAATAAAAAAGATTAGTGCTTAAACTGATACTCTCTAGTTATTTGGAAAATACATTTATGTAAAACATGTGTTTTCCTATTATAGTCTAAATTAGAACATTGGAGCACCTAGCAACATCTTAAAGCTAGTTAAACAGAATGACATCATATTTTGACCATACTGTTTTGAAATTGTGCAGTTTCTCTTTGTATCTCTAGAGTGATTCATGAATATGTATTTGGCTTCTCAAATTAAAAATATTTCACTGCTATTGAACTATTCCTTTAATATCTGTATAAATGTTTTTAAGTATTATATTTTGAGGATTTTGAAGCTTTAGGTTTCTTATTTAAAATACAATTATCGGCCAGGCATGGTGGCTCACACCTGTAATCCCAGCACTTTGGGAGGCCGAGGCGGGTGAATCACAAGGTCAAGAGATCAAAACCATTCTGGCCAACATGGTGAAACCCCGTCTCTACTAAAAATACAAAAAAAGTTTAGCCAGGCGTGGTCGTGGGCACCTGTAGTCCCAGCTACTCAGGAGGCTGAAGCAGGAGAATGATGTGAACCCAGGAGGCGTAGGTTGCAGTGAGCTGAGATCGCACCACTGCACTCCAGCCTGGCAACAGAGCGAGACTCTGTCTCAAAAAAATACAATAATAAAATAAAATAAAAAATAAAATAAAATATAGAATCATCTGGGCCAGGCACGGTGGCCCATGCCTGTAATCCCAGTACTTTGGGAGGCTGAGGTAGGTGGATCCCTTGAGCTCAAGAGATTGAAACCAGCCTAGGCAACATGGTGAAACCCCATATCTACAAAAATACAAAATGCAAAAGAATTAGCCAGGCATGGTGGCACGCGCCTGTTGTCCCAGCTACTCGGGAGGCTAAGGCGAAAGGATCATTTGCACCCAGAAAGTCGAGGCTGCAGTGAGCCAAGATTGCGCCACTGCACTCAAGCCTGGGTGACAAAGCGAGACCCTGTCTCAAAAACAAAACAAAATTTTAAAATTGCCACAATTATCCTTAATCTTATGTTGGAGATGATTACTAGGGAGATCATTAATATATAAAATATATTCTACTATATTAATAAATTATATAACATATTAGTATAATGTATTAAATATAATTATATTAAGAATAATATAAATATTTTAAAATTATATAATTTATATAAAGTAACTAGATAATGTTAAATATCAGGAAACTGCAGGAAGTTGGTATTCCTTGTTAAGAAGAAAGGTGCACTCATCCCTTTGAGAGCAGAAATGACTCTTCTTCTGTTTGAGGATAAAAGGACGATGTCCCCAGAGCTGGAATCTATAATAGTCAGTATTTGCAGGGGTTGTGTTTGACGGGTGCTCAGCGTCTGAACCTCTTCACGGCTAAGAGGAGCCTTTTCTTGCGTGGCGTTGTTTGGAAACAGAGGCCTATCCCTTGGAAATTAGGATTTGGTTGCATGATCTGGGCTCAACCATCGGAATGTGTGCTAAGAAACCTGGGCATGGAGCAAGTATGTGAGGAAGCTGCCTCGCTCCAGGGGTGGCAGCCGCAGCCTCTGATGTCCCAGGCAGTCACAGTGACACAGCCTTCCAACCAGGCCGCCCCCTGGCATGACCATGGCTGTGGGTGCAGCTGCCCACCTCCCCTGCTGCTGCCATTTGCTCACCTGCGTCTCCAGCCTTCGCACTGACATTTACCCACTATCCTTCCAATAAATTCCTTTCCTGCTCAAGTGAATCAGAATCAGTTTCTGTTGTTTGCAGTTAAAAACTCTGACTCATGGGCCGGGCGCAGTGGCTCACGCCTGTAATGCCAGCACTTTGGGAGGCCGAGGCGGGCGGATCACGAGGTCAATAGATCGAGACCATCCTGGTCAACATGGTGAAACCCTGTCCCTACTAAAAATACAAAAATTAGTTGGGCATGGTGGCCCGTGCCTGTAATCCCAGCTACTTGCGAGGCTGAGGCAAGAGAATTGTTTGAACCCAGGAGGCAGAGGTTGCAGAGAGCCGAGATCGTGCACTGCACTCCAGTCTGACGACAGAGCAAGACTCCGTCAAAAAATAAAAATAAAAAATAAACAAAAACAAAACAAAACAAACAAACAAAAAAACCCTGACTCATTCTCCATGTAGGAAAAAAAATGCAAACTAAACCCCTCCAAGTTGAGAAAGGTGAGGAGAAAAGGAGGAGAGACAGGGGAAGAAAAGAGGTACTGGGATTTGGAAAGGTAAAATAAGTTTTTTCCTGGAATTAGCAGAAAGCAATGACAGCAAGTCTTGCCAGAGTAACCCGCTGCATTACCCACAGCTATGTGCAAAGCTGCCGGGCTCCCAGGGAAACCAGAGCTGCAATTCAATTGGCAAAAGTCAAAAATGACAGTCTATTACCCCAGTGGGAACTGAGTCACTTGAGTGACAGAGTAATGGAATTATTTACAGAGGCAGTAGTGTCTGATATTCTGAGATGATGTTTCCTGGTGGGCTATACTTTAGGGTAAGTTAGGTCTGGAAATGCCTAACAGCATAGGAGTTAAATGTTAGCCAAAACTGCATAACAAGATAGAAAAAACTTTATTTGCAACATGCTCAAAATATTAGCGGAAACGTTAATAGACCATAAATGTTTATAGGTGAAGTAATCTCAAACCAAACTTAAAAATAAGAAATTGATAGAACTGACTTACAGTCGGTTATGTGAGAAGAATATTTGCAGTTTGGGTCAAATTACTATTTAAGCTATTCTGAAATTACAATTCTACATAATTATAATAACAAACGTGATAATTTAAATTACTGACCAGAAGCTAATAGATTCTAAGTATATAGTGGCCTATAGGTGAAATTTGATAATACTAAATTTGAAATCTTTCTTTCTTTTTTTTTTTTTTCTTCGTTGAGACGGAGTCTCACTCTGTCCCCCAGGCTGGAGTGCAGTGGCGCGATCTTGCCTCACTGCAACCTCTGCCTCCTGGGTTCAAGCGATTCTCCTGCCTCAGCCTCCCGAGTAGCTGGGATTACAGGTGCCCACCACCACACCCAGCTAATTTTTGTATTTTTAGTAGAGACAGGGTTTCACCATGTTGGCCAGGCTGGTCTCGAACTCCTGACCTGATGATCTGCTGCCTCAGCCTCCCAAAGTGCTGGGATTACAGGCGTGAGCCACCGCACCTGGCCTAAATTTGAAATCATTTCAATGAAATGATACTTCTTTCAATCTAGGGTCCTCTTGATCACATGGATTGGCTGAAAATTATTAATAGAAAATTTGTAAAAGAAACAGACTCACATAGACTTTGTTCTATGAGCAAAAATGCCCTGTTCAGCAGTGGTGTGGCCTCTCTGTGCCTCCATTTCCACATCTGTAAAATGGTGATAATAATAGTTGTTGTGAACAATGAAACAAATCAATCCTGTAAGCCCTTAGACACAGCGCCTGGTGCATATTAAGAACTCTGTGTTTATTGTTCTAACTGTGATTGCAGGTTTTTATCATGTGGGGCAAAGGGAGATGTATTCTCAATGACCATGGAAGGGAAAGCAGCCTTGGAGAGCCATTTAGTTAAAATGAGATTACTTAACTCAGAAAATGTGGCATTCCCAAAACTTATTGAAATTTAGGGGGGGAAAGAGCAGAACTCTCTTTCCAACGTCTCAAGCCATGGTTTAGAGAGGGATCCACAGAGAACTATTCCACTTGGGAACCCACCACCAGTCCCAGATGCGGGGCCACCATTATCCTCCTGCCAGCCACGTCTACAGTGACTGTAAGATGGTCCACAGGCGGGGCCACCATTATCCTCCTGCCAGCCACGTCTACAGTGACTGTAAGATGGTCCACAGGCGGGGCCACCATTATCCTCCTGCCAGCCACGTCTACAGTGACTGTAAGATGGTCCACAGGTGGGGCCACCATTATCCTCCTGCCAGCCACATCTACAATCAGTGTAAGATGGTCCACAGGCGGGAAGAAGCAAAGGTGTTTAAGAAAAGCCTGTCTGCACGAATCGTCCGGGGAGAACATGAAGACATCCTGGAAGTAACCAAGAAAGCCCTATGAGGAGTGGAGGGGGTGTGCTGTCATAGGTCACAGGGATAGAAGGCTGAGGGTGGAAAGCAAGGAGAGATACCAGAGAGGTATCTCTGTCCACTGCATTGGGAGTTACCCAGCTCCCACAACCAGACTCAGGAAAGAGACCACAGACCCCTCCCTATCACAAAGGCGACCCCAAGGTGGGGAGATGCTGATGGGAGATCTTCACATCCTCGGACCTGCTGAAAGTCCATCCGGCGGAAACCAGAGTCTTTGACAGGCGCGTAGAGCGAGAAACAGAACTTGGGCTCTGGAGTCAGACCCTGGCTCGAATGCCCACATCCCGCCACCTGCCAGATGGATGAACTTGAGCAAGACACTCAGCATCTCCGTGCCTCCGCTTCCTCATGGTAAAGGCGCCTTTGGCACAGAAAGAACTCGGTAGGCGTCAGCTATTATTATTGCATGCCGACAATTTCATCTTCCAGAGAGTGGAGAAGTAGTAAGCGGAACTGCCACTCTGAACTAAATTTGGCCAAAAGGAGGAATTGGTTGGCAGAGTGGAAATGACAGGAAGCTTGGGAGAAAGCAACTGTGTCTTCTTCAAGTATATAATAGCGAGAGAAATGGCAGGGCCCAGTTAGACGTGGTCCCTAGATTTTACCAATTAAAAGAACATACCATGGCTTGAGACGCTGGAAAGATGCTCAAGAATTGAGTACTTCCTAAGAACATTCACTGTGCCCGTGAAATCTCAATTCAGTGAAAAAGGAGGAAGGGGCTTAAAGAAACCCTAAGGTTGCAGATGTTTGTGATGTGATTGTGGGAGAAGGTGAGCCTGAGCTGAACAGGGGGTGCTTTCGCCCGCAGAGGAACGTAAGGTGGAACAAATGGCAGCATGCTTCTGAGAAAGTGAAAGCCCCACGTGAATTGAGGCCCGTACAAGGGCTTCATAAAGTCATATTCAAAGCAAAAAAGGGGATACGCTGTTTGCGGTCAGTGTTGTCATGTTGGTGGGTGACAAGAGAAAGCAGAACTCCTCAATGTGTATTTTGCTTCTGTTTTTCCCTGTCAAAGGGAGCATTCTTAGAACTGAAACGCCCGGAGGAAAAGTTAACCCAAAGTGGCAGAAAAAACTGTGAGAGACCCCAGTATCTGTATATGAATTCCAGGAATCTGACCAGAACAAATGATTTTCCAGAGAGTGGGGAGTTTTGCAAATAATTTCCCTCCATGCATTGTCTAAGGGCTAAACCTCTTAGGGACAAGCATTTAGTACAATTTTCAAAAGAGTAAAGACACTCAGTTCCACACGCCTCAAGCCATTTTGTTTACTGAGTCCAAGAATCAAAGCCACTTATTAATGAGATGGCGGTGGTCACTAGGAGTCCCTGTAGGGAACTAAAGAACGTTTTGTTCTAAAGAACATGTTTTCTGGAACAAACTCACACAGTCAGTTGAATTCTTTGGTCATCTTTCCATGACACTCATTTGAAACATTTCCATTTTTGTCTATCTTTATTCCACTGAAATCTTTTTCACTAGGATCAATTATTTTTCATTTAATTTTTTTTTTTTTTTGAGACGAAGTTTCTCTTTGTCAGGCTAGAGTGCAGTGGCATGATCTCAGCTCACTGCAATCTCCACCTACCGGGTTGAAGCAATTCTCCTGCCTCAGCCTCCTGAGTAGCTGGGATTACAGTCATGCACCACCATGCCCAGCTAATTTTGTATTTTTAGTAGAGATGGGGCTTCTCTGGGTTGGCCAGGCTGGTCTCAAACTCCCAACCTCAGGTGATCTGCCCACCTCAGCCTCCCAAAGTGCTGGGATGACAGGCATGAGCCACTGCGCCTGGCCTAATTTAAATTTTTAAATTCAGTTTTGTCCCAGTGCGTGGTCCAAAAGTGCATCCAGTTGTGCAGGATGGGATCAGAGAGTGGAACTGCAGAGAGAGTCTATGTTGGCAGCAATCAGGAAGGGAGGTGCCGCCTGTACTGGGCCTGGAAGATGGCCCTGGCAGCTCAGCTTCCTCCTTCCCAAACAGGCCCTGGGCTGGGAGAGCCTCTTACTTGTTTCTGCCTCAACTCTAGTCTCTGTGCTTCTGCATCCACACCAAAGTGGAGAGAGATCCCCGTCTCTCCAAAGGCTGGGAAGTGCCCTGGTAACCAGGATCCTTACAAGAATTGTGAAGCAAGGCAGTGCCCTTCTCTGTTACCCCCTGGGAAGCCCAGACAGCTGGTTTGGTCTACAAGGGAATCTTTGTTTTTTTCAAGATGGAGTCTTGCTCTGTCACCCAGGCTGGAGTGCAGTGGCGTGATCTCGGCTCACTGCAACCTCCGCCTCCGGGGTTCAAGCAGTTCTCCTGCCTCAGCCTCCCGAGTAGCTGGGATTACAGGAGCCCGCCACCACACCTGGCTAATTTTTGTATTTTTAGTAGAGACAGGGTTTCACCATGTTGGCCAGGCTGGTCTTGAACTCCTGACCTCATGATTCGCCCTCCTCGGCGTCCCAAAGTGCTGGGATTACAGGTGTGAGCCACCGCACCTGGCCTACAAGGGAATCTTAAACTTGACTTGCCACACAACCCTCTGGTACTCTGGCAACTCCTGTGGACTCCTCAGAATCACGTTTTTAAATGTAGAAAATGAAATACATACTCAAGGAGAAGAAATAGACTACATTGAAATACAATTCTATCCATAGACCCCTTGAATCCATGGACTCCAGGTTAAAACGTCCTGAGAGGGCAGCAGATAGTAGTTCAGAATTCAAATGAAAGAGGTAAATGTATTATATAAGGTGAATGTTTTCAGAAGGGCCAACTAAGGTGGAAAATGAAAAGCTAACCTAAGTTTTATTTATATTCAAAATTTCATTTATTATTAAACATAAAAATTTCCAGATCAGCTCTAGTCCATTTACCCCTCTCACATCTTGATATTAACCTCAAAATTCAGGTTTCCCTGGGTGACTTAAAACTCCTTCATTTGTGTATTTAAAGCATTTTGGAATTGATTTTTACTTTCAAATTGTACTGCCTCTTAGAGTAATGAATTTCGTGAGTGTACAACCTTCTGCACGAGGTAATACTCCATTTTATTTATTTAAAGCATATCTCCAGGTGTAAGATGTCCTCCCTTTACTAACATTCTAGTCTATAATCAAACCGATCAGTTATTCATATGAAGATTATAAGTTCAGGCATCACATTTAATCGGTCCCGATATGACTGTTCTAGCTCACACTCCCAGCTCTTGATCTCTTCACTTCCCCTCCTTTAGACTTTGCCTGCCTTGCTGTTTTCTTGAGGCTGAACACTCACAATCAAAGGTAATTTTCCAAATGTGGACATAGAATGTGCGTTGCGTGGCCAGGCACGGTGGCTCACGCCTGTAATCCCAGCACTTTGGGAGGCCAAGGCGGGTAAATCACCTGAGGTCAAGAGTTTGAGACCAACCTGGCCAATATGGCAAAACCCCATCTCTACTAAAAACACAAAAATTAGCCTGGCATGGTGGCGAGTGCCTGTAATCCCAGCTACTAGGGAGGCTGAGGCAGGAGAATCGCTTGAACCCGGGAGGCGGAGGTTGCAGTGAGCGGCTGAGATTGAGCCACTGCACTCCAGCCTGGGCAACAGAGCAAAACTCTGTCTCAAAAAAAAAAAAGAACGTGCGTTATGATATATTATGTCATATCATAGGAAACAGTTGCCATCTGCAAGTTAGGCAATTTGAGGAGAGTTTAATAAAGGGACTAGTACCCAGTGTGGTCACGGCAAAGCGGGAGCCCAGGACTTGCCCCAAAGGGCTGTTACTTCCCTAGGTCTGGGGGAGGCAACAATGATCAGAGCCCAAAAGGTGAGAGTCCACAGGCGCCTGGAGAGGCTACTGGAGAAGCCCTGTGACCCCTGATCTAGGGAAGCAGCTCCCCGAGGAAGCCCTGCAGGAGGAAACCAGGGGAGCAAACACGCGACCACTCTCCCCTCCCTGACGGGGATCCCTGTTTAGGGACCCCAGCTAGAGGACAAAGGACACAGGTCTGCTGAGCAGAGAGCAGGGTGGGAGAGGGTAGACAGTGGATCTGGAAGCTCAGACGGAATACATCCGGCCCGTTGTGATTCTATGCAACAGTGGGATGAATGTTACCTGTTGGTTTTGTTTGTTTGTTTTGTTTTGTGTTGAGACAGATCCTTGCTGTGTCGCCCAGGCTGGAGTTCAGTGGTGTGATCTTGGCTCACTGCAACCTCCGCCTCCCGGATTCAAGTGATTCTCCTGCCTCAGCCTCCCGAGTAGCTGGGATTACAGGCGTGCACCACCACCCCCCGCTAATTTTTTTTTTTCTATTTTTTAAGTAGAGATGGGGTTTCACCATGTTGGCTCAGGCTGGTCTTGATCTCCTGACCTCGAGTGATCTGCCCACCTCGACCTCCTAAAGTGCTGGGATTACAGGCGTGAGCCACTGCATCTGGCCACCTGTTTTTTTTTGTTTGTTTGTTTTTTTAAACGTTGTCACCTGTTTTACTTCTATTATACTTTTCTAATATGTTATGTGCAGTAGCATCTTTGCACTGAATGTTCTTAAAGAGCCCTTAATGACTTATTCTTTGCCTTGCAATGTGTCATACTAGAAATAGAACTTAAATTATTATTTCCCGAATGTGTGACCAGGCATTTACTTACACCAAAACCTAGTCACTTTTCTTACTGTTAACATAGCTTCACACAATTTCCCCACAGAACTATTCCCATCAGTTTGACTTTTTATTACCTAAAATAACTTAATATTAGTCTCACTATTTATAGCCTATTATTTTTATACTCTCCTCCAGATAATGTATACAAGCAACTTAAAGTACAATCTGGACTAATGAGGACTCTTTTAATCACTAGTGATAGAAACCCAACTCAAACTGGTGTAGCAGAGGAATTGATCGGTTCATGTTACTAAAAAGTCTGATTTAAAGCAAGACTGGATCCACGCGCTCAAACAATGCTTTCAGGAATCTGTGTCTCCAACTCTCAGCCCTGCTCTCCCCTGACTCTACCCGGGTGGCATCAAGGGTGCGTTCTGGCAGTTTCGGGCCCATGGCCTGCTAGTCTAGCAATACCAGGGGGAAAGAGGCCTCTTTCAAAACAGTGCAGCAAAAGTCCCAGGACGGAACCCCCTTGTGTGACCTGGGGTCAAGTGCCTCTTCCGCAATCAGTCACTGTGGTTGGCGGGTGGGATGTGCCTATTTTTCTGGACTGACTCATATGCCGATTCCTGAAGCTCCACCCAAACGACATGGGCTCCTGTTGATGGAGTAGGCCCTAAAGAAAAGCAGGTGCTTTCATCAGAAGAGGGGTAGAGGTTGTACAGAGAAAAATCATGCTCATCTTCTTCCCAAGGTTAGTACTGATTCCTTAGAAGAGTTACTGTTTATACTTCATCCACAGAAGACCGTTGGTCTCCATCCCTCATTCCTGGTTTCTAAGCAACTCCCCGTTTACCAGAAAACAGCACTTGCAGTCCTAGAATATGTGTAGTTGCTTTTAGAAAGTAAAAAGGTTTTTGAAAGACTTTTCATTTTGTTCTGTACCAAGAAAAATTCTTCTGCCTTGGGATCCTGTTGATCGGTGACCTTACCCCCAACCCTGTGCTCTCTGAAACATGTGCTGTGTCCACTCAGGGTTAAATGGATTAAGGGCGGTGCAAGATGTGCTTTGTTAAACAGATGCTTGAAGGCAGCATGCTCGTTAAGAGTCATCACCACTCCCTAATCTCAAGTACCCAGGGACACAAACACTGCGGAAGGCCCCAGGGTCCTCTGCCTAGGAAAACCAGAGACCTTTGTTCACTTGTTTATTTGCTGACCTTCCCTCCACTATTGTCCTATGACCCTGCCAAATCCCCCTCTGCGAGAAACACCCAAGAATGATCAATAAAAAAATAAAATAAAATAAAATAATTACCAAAAAAAAAAAGGTTTTTGAAAATGTAAATAGATTACCTATAACAAACACACACGTTTCCCCATAACAGAGTTTCAATAGAATAAAATTCCCTCTTAATAGCCTGGTTGTCTTTTCCTGTAATTGCTTGTGTTTCCTGAGGAGTTCATTACAAAGACCAGCTGACTTGTCGAGTTGCATCGCAGTGCAGAGAGCGCCGGAAGGAGAGAGAAGCTCACACTTTAGATCCAGCTCTGTTGCTCACAAAGGGCCTTGTTTGTCCATGAGTAAAATGAGGTTGGACAAGAATTCCAAAGTTGATTCCAGCAATAAGAACTTAGAGTTCTATTCTGAAATATGTATCATCAAAGAGATAGGAGGGCAGGCATACCACTCATTTAGGACAGAGAGGTTAAGGTCCTCAGCCTGCAGCCATGGGCCACAGATGGGAGGAAGAGTTGCAACCCCAAATTTCACAGGCTTAAAGAAGTTTATGTGCATTAAAGGACGCAATCAACAGAGGGATAAGACAAACCATGAGACGGGAGAAAACATTTGTGAATCACACATCTGATAAGGAGTTAATATCCAGAATATATAAAGAACTTTTATAACTCAACAACAACAAAAACAACCTCATTTAAAAATGGGCAAAGGGCTTAAGTAGACAATTCTTCAAAAAAGATAAACAAATGACTAACAAACCTACGAAAAGATGCTCAACAGCACTAATCATTAGGAAAATGCAAATCAAAATCTTAATGAGATATCACCTTATACCTATGAGGATGGCTGCTATAAAACACACACACAAGGCTTGGCGCAGTGGCTCATGCCTGTAACCCCAGCACTTTGGGAGGCCAAGGCGGGTGGATCACGAGGTCAAGAGATGGAGACCATCCTGGCCAACATGGTGAAACCCCGTCTCTGCTAAAAATACAAAAATTAGCCGGGCGTGGTGGCTGGCACCTGTAATCCCAGCTACTCAGGAGGCTGAGGCAGGAGGATCACTTGAACCCGGGAGGCGGAGGTTGCAGTGAGCCAAGATCACACCACTGCACTCCAGCCTGGTGATAAAGGGAGACTCCGTCTCAAAAAAAAAAAAAACCAAAACAAACAAAAACAAAACAAAAACAAAAACAAAAAAACATACACACAAACCTGAAAGCAACAAGTGTTAGAAAAGATGTAGAGAACCTGGAAGTCCTGTGCACTACTGGTGGGAATATAAAATGGTGCTGCCAGTATAGAAAACAGTGTGATAGCTCCCTAAAACCTTATAATAAGAATTACCACAGAACCCAGCAATTCTGCTTATGGGAATATACCCACAAGCATTGAAAGCATCCAGGGGCTGTGGAGAGGGAGAAATAAATGTTTAGTGTATGGAGAGTTCATTCTGAAAGATGAAACACTCCTGGAGATTGAACAACAGTGGGGATACACTTAACACTGTTGAACTGTACTGTTACAAATGGTTAAGATGGTAATTTTTTGTTACATGTATTTTACCACGATTTTTTTTTTTTTTTGAGACAGAGTTTCACTCTTATCGCCCAGGCTGCAGTGCAATGGCGCGATCTCGGCTCACTGCAACCTCCGCCTCCCGGGTTCAAGCAATTCTCCTGCTTCGGCCTCCTGAGTAGCTGGGATTACAGGTGCCCACCACCACACCCGGCTAATTTTTGTTTTTAGTAGAGATGGGGGTTTTACGATATTGGCCAGGCTGGTCTCGAACTCCTGACCTCGAGCAATCTGCCCGCCTCGGCCTCCCAAATTGCTGGGATTACAGGCGCGAGCCACTATGCCTGTCCTACCACAATTTTTAAAAGAACTTTAAAGCTGGAAGGGAACTTAGAGATCTTTTAGTCCAAACCCTTTGTTTTACAGAGAGGAAAACTGAGGCCCTAAGTGTTACATTATTTACACAAGAACAGAACACAGTAGCAGAGACGGAAGCTCCATCTCTCAGCGCTGCTGTGATATCTTAATTTTACATGTCAGCTTAGCTGGGCCACAATGCCGAGATATGTGGTGGGGTTTTTTAATAGAAAAAAAATGAACCCATTGACTTTTCAGAGCAGTATGTGGTTAAACATTATTCCGGATGTCTTTGTGAGGATATTTTTGGATAAGATTAACATTTAAATCAGTGGACTTTAAGCAAAGCAGATTACCCTCCATAATGCGAGTGGGCCTCATCCAGTCTGCTGAAGGCCTGAAACAAAAAGACTGCTCCCTGGAGGAAGAGGAAGTTCTCCAGCCTGCTAGCTCACGCTGCAGATTTTGGACTAGCCCACCTCCATAATCTATGTGAACCAATTCCTTAAAAATATCTCTTTCTCTGTATATATGTCCTTGAGAATCCTAACATATCTGCCTTTTCTTTTTCTGACCAATTGTGACTTTTAAATAAACATCACTTGGCTGAGTGCGGTGACTCACGCCTGTAATTCCAGCACTTTGGGAGGCCGAGGCAGGCAGATCACTTGAGGTTGGGAGTTCGAGACCAGCCTGACCAACATGGAGAAACCCCATCTCTACTAAAAATCCAAAAAAAAAAAAAAAAAAAAAAATTAGCCAGGCGTGGTGGTGCATGCCTGTCATCCCAGCTACTTGGGAGGCTTAGGCAGGAGAATTGCTTGAACCAAGGAGGCGGAGGTTGCAGTGAGCCGAGATTGCGCCACTGCACTCCAGCCCGGGCAACAAGAGCAAAACTCCGTCTCAAAAAAAATAAATAAAATAAAATAAACATCACCTGACATTTGTGTGATGCAACAGCAACCATGCAGACTTCTCTTTGGTCACAAGAGAGGAAAAGAAACACAATAAAGGAGTCACAATAAAGGGGTCACAATCAAGGGGTCACAATCAGAGGGTCACACTGTTAGCACTAATGCAGGGGTTAATATTAGCATCACTGATGGGAGAACAACCAGAATATGTCTTCCACCATGGTGCGCACGAAGCACCCAGCAGCACTTAGGATATATCCTTGCTAAAAGTGTCTAACTTGAATTAAATCAAATGTTAACATCTCATTGATCATTTATAGGAAATAAAGGACACAGAAGAACCAGCTAGAACACTGTAACTGCAGCCATAAAAATGAACGAAATGTGGCCGGGCGCGGTGGCTCACGTCTGTAATCCCAGCACTTTAGGAGCCTGAGGCAGGTGGACCACTTGAGGCCAGCAGTGTGAGACCAGCCTGGCCAACATGGCGAAACCCCGTCTCACCTGAAAATACAAAAATTAGCCGGGCATGGTGGCGCGCACCTGTAATCCCAGCTACTCAGGAGGCTGAGGCAGGAGAATCGCTTGAACCAGGGAGACGGAGGTTGCAGTGAGTTGAGATCGCATCACTTCACTTCAGTCTAGGTGGCAGCGTAAGACTCTGTCTCAAAAAAAAAAAAAAAATGAAATTATGTCCTTTGCAGCAACATAGGTGGAGCTGGAGGCCATTATCCTAGGTGAACTAACTCAGAAACAGAAACTCCAATACTGCATGTTCTTACTTCTAAGTGGGAACTAAACAATGGGCACACATGGACATGAAGATGGAATGGACTCCAGAAGGGGGGAGGGTGGGAGGGATGAGGGGCAAAAAATTACCTATTAGGTACAATGTGCACTATTGGGTGATGGGTACACCAGAAGCCCAGTCCTCACCATAATGCGATATAACCCATGTGGCCAGGTGCGGTGGCCCACACCTGGAATCCCAGCACTCTGGGAGGCCAAGGTGGGAGGATCACTTGAGGTCAGTAGTTCAAGACCAGCCTGACCAACATGATGAAACCCTGACTTTACTAAAAAAATACAAAAATTAGCCAGGCGTGGTGGCGGGTGCCTGTAGTCCCAGCTACTTAGGAGGCTGAGGCAGGAGAATCACTTGAACCCAGGAGGCAGAGGTTCCAGTGAGCTGAGATCGTGCTACTGCACTCCACCCTGGGCAACAGAGCAAGACTCTGTCTCAAAAAAAAGAAAAAAAACAAAAACAAACAAACAAACAAAAAACCATGTAACAAACATGCGCATATACCCCATCAGTCTAAAAAAAAAAATGTAGGTCGGCATTTGAGTCAGAATTGGTATGTTGTATGATGTGGATAGTGATTGAGGATTT
Source organism: Homo sapiens (assembly GCF_000001405.40). Lineage (NCBI taxonomy): Eukaryota > Metazoa > Chordata > Mammalia > Primates > Hominidae > Homo > Homo sapiens. The sequence goes on along the minus strand of NC_000003.12, from coordinate 196,615,496 downwards.
TCTTTTTTCCAATATAACTAGAATAAATTTCAGGTTATTCTGAAAATAAATAAATAAATAAATAAATAAATAAATAAATAAACATGAAAAAGCTCTAGGCTGGGCACGGTGGCTCACGCCTGTAATCCCAGCACTCTGGGAGGCCAAGGTGGGCAGATCACTAGAGGTCAGGAGTCTGAGACCAGCCTGACCAACATGGTGAAACCCCATCTCTACTAAAAATACGAAAATTAGCCAGGTGTGATGGCGGGCTCCTGTAATCCCAGCTACTCGGGAGGCTGAGGCAGGAGAACTGCTTGAACCCAGGAGGCAGAGGTTGCAGTGAGCCGAGATTGTGCCATTGCACTCCAGCCTGGGCAACAGAGCAAGACTCCATCTCAAAAAAAAAAAAGATAAAAGAAAAAGCTAAATTCCCATTGCTCCCAAGCTGAACAAATTCATGAATTTGAAATACTACCATGTGTATGTTTATTACCTCTGTTACTGGGACTCTATAGACTGAATACTTCTTGAAAAAAATTATTCTTGGGCACTATGGCTCACACCTGTAATCCCAGCACTTTGGGAGGCCAAGGCAGGCGGATCATAAGGTCAGGAGTTTGAGACCAGCCTGCCCAATATGGTGAATCCCCGTCCCTACTAAAAATACGAAAATTAGCTGGATGTGGTAGCATGCGCCTGTAGTCCCAGCTACTTGGGAAGCTGAGGCAGGAGAAACATTTAAGCCTGGGAGGTAGAGGTTGCAGTGAGCCAAGATTGCACCACAGCACTCCAGCCTGGGTGACAGAGCCAGACTCCATCTCAAAAAAAAAAAAAAAAAAAATTTTTTTTTTTTGAGATGGAGTCTTGTAAAATTTATCCTTTTTTTTTTAATCTTATTTTTTTGAGATGGAGTCTTGCTCTGTTGCCCAGGTTGGAGTGTAGTGGCATGATCTCGGCTCATTGCCACCTCTGCCTTCTGGGCTCAAGCAATTCTCCTGCCTCAGCCTCCCAAGTAGCTGGGATTATAGGCGCCGGCTACCACACCCAGCTAATTTTTGTATTTTTAGTAGAGATGGGGTTTGACCATGTTGGCCAGGCTGGTCTCGAACTCCTGACCTTAGGTGCTCCGCCCACCTCAGCCTCCCAAAGTGCTGGGATTACAGACATGAGCCACCGCACCCGGCCAAAAAAATTATTCTTGAATTTAACTGTCTCAAGTAGAAGGTTCATGGCGTCTGAGTGGTACCACTGTCATGTGATGTGTAATGTGAACTATACTGATGATATAATAATGGCGTAATGAACTATGTTGATGATATATGATATGTATTTTGTTTGGTTTTTCTTTTTTCTTTCTTTCTTTTTTAGACGGTTTGGTTCTGTGGCGCAGGCTAGAGTGCAGTGGCATGATCTCGGCTTGCTGAAACCACTGCCTCCTGGACTCAAAGGATCCTCCCACCTCAGCCTCTCGAGTAGCTGGGACCACAGGCATGCGCCACCTCGCCCAGCTAATTTTTGTATTTTTTGAGGAGACGAGGTTGCCCAGGATGGTCTCAAACTCCTGGCCTCAAGCGATCTGCCCCCTCAGCCTCCCAAAGTGCTGGGATTGCAGGAGTGAGCCACTGTGCCCAGCCTGATTACTTATTTTATGTTATTTTATTTTGAGATGGAGTCTCACTCTGTTGCCCAGGCTAGAGAACAGCGGCGTGGTCTCAGCTCACCGCAACCTCCGCCTCCTGGGTTCAAGCCATTCTCCTGCCTCAGTCTCTCAAGTAGCTGGGATTACAAGTGTGTACCACCATGCTCGGCTAATTTTTGCATTTTTAGTCAAGACAGGGTTTTACCACATTGCCCAGGCTGGTCTTGAATTCTTGACCTCGGGTGATCCGCCTGCCTCGGCCTCCCAAAGTGCTGGGATTACAGGCGTGAGCCACTGCACCTGGCCCTGATATGAATTTTTAAAAAGAGAGCACTTTAACAATGAAGCTTCCTTCTATTTATCAGCATCATCCATAAAAGAGCCCTAAGTTCCATAACAACCAGATGAAATGCGTGGTCCTGGATTGGATCCTGGTTTGAACAAAACAGCAGTAAAGGACATTTTGGAATCAACTGGGGAAATTTTGTGGATTAAGTATTAAATAATGTCGGGAGGTTATAGTTAATTTTGTTGGGTGTTATATTTTGATTTTGGCTATGCAGAACATATTCTTTTTTTTTTTTTTTTTTTTTTTTTTTTTTGAGACAAAGTCTCGCTTTGTCACCCACACTGGAGTGCAATGGTGTGATCTCGGCTCACTGCAACCTCCGCCTCCCGGGTTCAAGTGATTCTCATGTCTCAGCCTCTGGAATAGCTAGGATTGGAGTCACCCACCACCACGCCTGGCTAATTTTTGTATTTTTAGTAGAGATGGAGTTTCACCGTGTTGGCCAGGCTAGTCTTGAATTCCTGACCTCAGGTGATCCACCCACCTTGGCCTCCCAAAGTGCTGGGATTACAGACATGAGTCACCGCTCCCGGCCAATATTCTTACGTCTTAAAGATACACACTGAAGTATTTAGGAGTGGAATGTCATGACACCTTTATATATGTATTTAGATATTTCATAAAAAATTAATGAAGTGAGCTAAAAGAGAAGACACTCTTCCCACAAGGCAGTAGTCATGCAGGAGAAGAAAAGCACGTTGAAGTTGTACTAAACATCAAGTTAAAGCCACCACACATAACTCCTTGGCAAGGAAAGGGCCCACGATGGCATTGTTCTCACCTTTTCCTTCCTGCTTAGACCCCTTCCTGACTCCCTCTGGTTGAGTTTCTGAGAAACTCATGCCTCTACCAAGAGACCTCCCCGGGAGGGCTTAGCCTGGAGACTCAGGTATGGAAAGGGCTGTCCCAAGGAAAAGTGAGGCCAGTGGAAGAACACTGGAGGAGGGAGGTTTCAGATGGATAAAAGGCAAAACAGAGCTGGTTTCTTAGGGGAAGCAGTAAAATTTCCATGCCTGGAAGGGTCAAGCACAGGCTGGAAGGCTTGTTGGGAGTGACTGAGTGGGGAGGGAGGCTGGCCTTGGAGACTTCTACAGCGCCTTTCAGCCTCAGACACCAGGACCCAGAAGAAGGGTAGGTGAGGCTAGAGATGGTAAGAATGAGACAGAGAGGCGGAAAGCGAGGCCGGGGCCAGGCACTGACCGAGCTGGGACTCGAGCTGTTTCTCTCATCTCTGCCTTCCCTCCCTGGAACCTGCTTTGTGGTGCTGCTTCCTGTCTCCTACAATCTGGAGAAGTCAATTTCCTGTGGTAGCTGATTTCATTTGATAAGAAAAGGGAGGGTAGGTCAAACGAAGCCATTGCAGGGACTGTCCTTGAAAAGAAACAGAAGCTCAGTCTTGGCACGTCCTCCTCCCATCCTGACCATTCTAAAAGGAGGGAGATTTAGGAGAGAAGCCACAAGCCAAATGATCATAAGATTTGTTTTGAACTTTGCAAATACTATATTTAAAGCCAACAAAAAATAGTGACCAGCATATTTCCTAGCTCCAGGCAGAGCAGAACAATGCAGTTCAGGTCAATAGACGGGACCCTAGGGCCTGTTTGTGCTGGGTTTGGACAGGATATAAAGATGAATAGACTACCCTCAAAGCATTTTCAACCCTCAATTGCAGCCAAAAGGCTAAAAAGAAGAACTCGCTGTAAAACATCCTTAGTCCTGAATTACCTGGAAAGAATATAGAATCTCCTTGGAAACATTTAACATATATTCTTTCTGATCCTCTTAGTGTGGTTTCGATGTAGCCTTACCTGAGGGGCAAAAACAAAAACAAAAAAACACCTAAAACCAATGACCCATTGGCGTCTCATTCAGACCTAGGATTCTAGAGATACATCTCCCTATTAGTCTCTCTTGGCCCCAGGGAAAGAAAGAAGCCACCTTCCCTGACAAGGGGCTAGGAGCCAAATCCCTAGAAATAAATCCACCTGGTTCTGTGCTGTCTTTCCTCTCAATGGCCCTGGACCCCTCAAGAGTTCAATTTGAAAGACGTACAACTATTATGTATCCGTAATAATTAAAGATAAGAAATTTTTGGCCTGGCCTGGTGGCTCATGCCTGTAATCCCAGCACTTTGGGAGGCTGAGGCAAGGAGGATGGCTTGAGGCCAGGAATTCAAGACCAGCCTGGGCAACATAGAGAGACCATATCTCTAAAAATAAATTAAAATAAATTTTAAAAGATGTTTTTAAGCCAACTTGTCCCAACACCTAATCCTTTGGCTGAAATTCAAGCAACATGCCCATGAGACAAGGGCCAAAGTGCTCTTGAAAAAGAGCTAGTAATGATAAATAATGTTTTAAAAACACTCCACCATAAATGCAAACTTTTCACATTATTATCTTACTTGAGTATCTCACGTCTGTGAGGTATTTATTTTTATTATATTTTAGAGACAAGGCGCCACTCTGTCACCATACTAGAGTCTAGTGGCACGATCACAGCTCACTGCAGCCTCCACCTTCTGGGCTCAAGGGATCCTCCTGCCTCAGCCTCCCAAGTAGCTAGGATTACAGGCATGCACCACTATGCCCAGCTAATTCTTATTTTTTGTGGAGATGGGGTCTTACTTTGTTGCCCAGGCTGGTCTCAAACTCCTGGCCTCAAGCAATCCTCCAGCCTTGGCCTCCCAAAGTGTTGAGATTACAGGCATGAGCCACTGCGCCCGTCCTCTGTGAGATATTTATGAAAGGCATTATTAATACCCATTTATAGATAACAAAACTGAGGGCCGGGCGTGGTGGCTCACGCCTGTAATCCCAGCACTTTGGGAGGCCGAGGCGGGCAGATCACGAGGTCAGGAGATCGAGACCATCCTGGCTAACACGGTGAAACCCCGTCTCTACTAGAAATACAAAAAAATTAGCCGGGCATGGTGGTGGGCACCTGTAGTCCCAGCTACTCGGGAGGCTGAGGCAGGAGAATGGCATGAACCCGGGAGGTGGAGCTTGCAGTAAGCTGAGATCACGCCACTGCACTCCAGCCTGGGCAACAGAGTGAGACTCTGTCTCAGAAAAAAAAAAGAAAAGAAAACTGAGGCCCAGAGAAGGCAAGTGACTTGCCCAAAATTAACTATGTGACCTCTAACCTAGTTCAACCACGCCCAAGATGATAAACTCCCATGTACATGTTTGTCACCTTGGCCATGGTGGGACTAGGTTAGAGGTCACACAGTTACCACGCTGCCTCTACTGTGGTACACCTAGATACCGAGATAGTATAAGGGCATTGTAACAGTGGATTTCAGGGAGAAGCAGTGAGAAGGTCCTAGGATCACATTTTTGGGGATTTCTGCAAAACTACCCCTCATTACAGTGTTTTGATCCCCAGCCCCCCAGGTCCTACCCCCAGGCATTCCTTCTCCACATGCCATGCGGGTGTGGACAAAGCTATAGACCAGATTGCAGGTGGGTGTCTATGTTCTCATCCAGTCTAGCAAGTGAGTGGGGAACATAGAGATGTGTAAGAAATTGTGAGAGGCCTTTGCCTTCCGGGTGATGATAGTCTTGGAGATCAGTGTGATGCCTCTGGGGTAGGTGAGGAACTGGGGGAGCCAACCAGCTTTTCCCTTCCCTTATGCTGTGTTTCTTATTTCCAGAAATATTCTTATTACTAGAAGGTGATTATTTGGCCAGACCTATACTCCTGACCATTGGGAAAAAAATGGGAAAATGTTGGACATGAAGGAAGGGAAAGAGAAGAGTGAGAGAAACTAGAACATTTATGGCCGAAGCAGAGGATAAGAAATTAGGAAAAAGCAAAGAAAAAAAAGCCAGGTCCTCAATAGTATTGAGTGCATCTTCCTCCTTCCAAAATAAACGGCTGCCAGCTTTAGAGAAAACATATTTGTGGCTCAACTCACCACAGGTGCGGGTTTGACTCTGAAGTGGGACTGAGGAACTAGTTTACTTTTTCCATTCCATGTGTTTCCTCATGCAAGCTCCTCCCCACAGGGCACCCCTTGGCACCCCACCCTCCCCTGGGCACCTGACATGTGCCGCTGCTGCCCCCTGCTGGGAGAACACTGTTGGATCCCGGGGAGAGGGACTCCTTTCAGAGTGGCCACATCAGGGGCAGGAGAGGAGGGGACTTTGAAGGGTAAGTGATAAAACAGAGCATTTAAATATAGCCAGACACTAAAATCTTTTCACAAAATGTCTGAAACGTCTGGCTTATAATCAGCATACAGGCCTGTGAAAAGGGGTCAAGGAAGTATAAGGTGGTTGGGTACCCACCTGAGATGGAAGCCTTTTAATGAGGCCTAGACTACCCATCTCCTCCCTTTGGTATATCTGAAGCATTTTAGCCTTCTTAAAGCACAATGTTTATTAAGTGGTAAAAAAATTATTCAAAGACTACATGGCTAAGATAATAAGCTTCATACTCTTCGACAACTGTTTTCTTCCCTTTTATTCCAAAGTCCACAAACTGACCCCAACTTACCTCTTTATTTCTGTCTCCCACTATTCTTCCTTGCACAGGCTGTGACCTATGTTGTCTTCTACCAACTCCCCCTGCACACACACTTATAGCTCTATAAATAACACACATTATAACAAAGTTATGAAACAAGAACTAACAAAAATGAAACAAGAACAGGTAAATATTTTTAAAGCCAATAACCTCATCATTGTATTTTTTATTCTTTGAATTCTGTGCTGTGTGCCTATGTTTCATATTCAAAAATAGTAAATTCATTAGTTTATTTTTAAATGAGAAAAAAATGGGTTAGAAATCTTACGAACATGACATATGTTTAATGACTTTTAAAATCTAATAGAATAAACTCCATACTGAGCACAAAGAGAAAATTTGTGAATTAACACAAGACAGAGCAGTAAACACGATAAAGACATTTTTTCAAGTAAAAAATATGTGACATCAGCTAGGCAATCGAGACAATACATTGGGTCTCTAATATATCCCCTTTTAAAAGCCTCAGAAGAAAATAACAGTAAAGGAGAAATGATTGAACAGATTATAGTTCATGTGAATATCCACATGTAAGAGAATGAAGTTGAATTCCTACCTCACACCATAAACAAAAAAATAATTCTAAATTCTCATAGACCTAAATGTGAGAGATCAAACTGTAAAACCCTTTGAAGAAAACAAAGGAGTAAATCTTTGTGACTTTGAACTAGACAATGGTTTCTTAGATATGAAACCAAAAGCCCAAGTGACAAAAGAAGTAAATAAATTGGACTTCAACTCAACAATAAAAAGACAAATTACGCATTTTTTATTTTAGTTTATTTTATTTTTTATTTTTGAGACAGAGTCTCAATCTGTCACCCAGGCTGGAGTGCAGTGGTGCAATCTCAGTTCACTGCAACCTCTGCCTCCCAGGCTCAAGCAATTCTTGTGCCTCAGCCTCCCAAGTAACTGGGATTACAAGTGTGTACCACCATGCCCAGCTAATTTTTTAAATATTTTTAGTAGAGACGGGGTTTCATCATGTTGCTCGGGCTGGTCTTGAACTCCTGAGCTCAGGCAATCTGCTCACCTCGACTTCCCAAAGTGCTAGGATTACAGGCATGAGCCACTCCACCCGGCCAAATTACTCATTTTTTAAATGGGCAAAGGATCTGTACACAAACAACTTAGATGCCTGTGAGGAAAGCATGCTTAGTTCCTACTCCTAAGATTTCCATTCATTTCAAGGACCTCTATTGGTGTGATAGTCTCAGTCTCTCTGCCTCTTTACTCATTCTGCTCCTTGGAGGACAGAGTGATGTTAAATAGTAAATTTAGGAAGAATAATCTGGATATGTTAGTTCTGCTTTTCTTTTTGGGGAGCAAACTGCTGGCGGTGTTTTATATATATATATATATGTTTATCAAATTGTTTGTATATTTGTTGCCTTGATCTACTAAACACTCAGCTAACAGACCTAAAGCTACGTCCTCTAACCTGGTCGCTACCAGCAATAAAGATAATATTTTGGCCTCTACAGGGGCCAAACCCAAGCAGAGAACCCTATCTTTTTATTGGATCTTCAAAGACAATATTGAATGACATAAAAGATGATGAAGATATGCTACAGTCATGGATGAGAATGCATTTCATCATAAAGATACCAATTCTTCCCAAGTCTATTGATTCAACATGCATATTGATTTATATTTTCAATTTTCAATAAAAATCCCAACAGAACTTCCAGGTGACTTCACAAGGTACGTTCTAAAATCTATATAGAAGAGTAAAGGGCCAAGAATAACCAAAACAATTTTTTAAAACCAAAAGTTTGAGGGAATTGCTCTTTCAAAATGAAGACTGGGGCTGGGCACCCTGGCTTATGCTTGTAATCCCAGCACTTTGGGAGGCCAAGGCAGGCGGATTGCGTGAGCCCAGGAGTTCAAGACCACCCTGGGCAATGTGGTGAAACCCTGTCTGTACAAAAAAATGCAAAAAAATTAGCCAGCATAGTGGTGTGTGCATGTAGTCCCAGCTACTTGGGAGGCTGAGGTGGGAGGATCACTTGAGCCAAGGAGTTCAAGATCAGGAGTTGGGCCCAGGAGACAGAGGCTGCGGTGAGCCGTGATCACAGGGCTCATGCCTGTAATCCCAGCCTACGATCCCAGGAAGATCACTTGAGATCTGGAATACGAGCTCAGCCTTGGCAACATAGTGAGACTCCAGCCCTAGAAAAAAGCTTATTTAAAACATTATAAAAGATCTATAAAAAGGATTGACCAGGTGTCATGGTGCACACCTGAAGTCCCAGCTACTAGGGAGGCTGAGATGGGAGGATTTCTTGAGCCCAAGAGTTCAAGGGTACAGTGAGCTATGGCCATGCCACTGTACCACAGCCTGGGTGACAGACCAAGACCGTGACTCTAAAACAAAACAAAAACCCTAAGATTGATTATAAAGTGAGAACAACTAAGAGTGTATAGTACTAGCCTATGTGTAGACAAAGAGGCCAAAAGAATCAGACAGTCCAGGAGCTGGCCCATGTATATGTACATATGGAAACTTGATATGTGACAGAGGAGGCACTGTAAATCAATGGAAGCATAAGCTATTCAATAAATAGGAGCAGGATACAATATTAACAGTATGTATTTAATAATGAAATTTCTACTTTCTCCATAACAAAAATAAATTCTAGATAGATTAAAAACCTATATTAAAAATGTTTTAAAGACTATTTCTCCTTTTGTTTTACAGATATGGACAGAAGCCTCAAAATACCTTTTATGCCTTTCATGGCCCATGATGCAAACTTGTCACGATGTTGTCAACTAATACAAGCCCTGGGTCGGAAAGCCTGTTTAATAAATCGCCAGGGCCAGAGGTGTAATGCAGAGGGATAAACAAGTTTGTTAAGTGGATGACCCTTGTGAGTCTTTTTTCAGGTAACCTAGCAATAAGCTGGCTCTTCAGGGAGGGCCACAAACCCCCTCATGTATAAACTGTCTGGATTATTGGGTTGTTTCTAACATTATTTCTTAGGCCAGAAAGGCTGAAACCTGAATTGCAAAGACACCTTGGTCAGATGATCTCTGATTCCTCCATAATTCTTTTTTTTTTTTTTGGAGACAGAGTCTTGCTCTGTTGCCCAGGCTGGAGTGCATTGGTGTGATCTCGGCTCACTGCGAGCTCTGCCTCCCAGGTACAAGCAGTTCTCCTGCCTCAGCCTCCCGAGTGGCTGGGATTACAGGTGCCCACCACCACGCATGAATAATTTTTGTATTTTTAGTAGAGACGGGGTTTCACCATGTTGGCCAGACTGGTCTTGAACTCCTGACTTCAGGTGATCCACCTGCCTCAGCCTCCCAAAGTGTTGGGATTACAGGCGTGAGCCACGGCGCCTGCCCTCCATAATACTTTATAAATGCGTGAGACAACAAGGAATTTTATATTCCCTCTCTTGTACAGAACACATGATGTGTCCAGCTATGCCTAGCCTAAGCACTCTTCCCCATGAAATGGTGAGAATCTTGGGCACTATATGCATCCCCTCACACCTGCAGGTTGAAACATACCTGTACCATGTGTTATTTTTGCTGCTTGCCCTCGTCCCTTGCTTGATAAACAGAAATATTGATGGTGATGAACAATGAGGCAATATCTAACAAAGGCGGAGATGAGCATAAGCCAGAACTTGAGAATGCCGCTTCTCATAATGTATATTCTAGAGACTAGAGCACATACATACAGAATTCATTCCAGCTTTGTTTGTAATCACAAATTGGAAACAACCTAAATGGTCGTGAACAGAAGAATTGATAGACGGTAGTATGTTGGTGAAATGGAATACTGTACGGCAGCGGTCCCCAACCTTTCTGGCACTAGGGACCCGTTTCCTGGAAGACCATTTTTTCATGGACTGGGGGTGGGGGATGGTTTGGGATGATTCAAGTGCATCACATTTATTGTGCACTTTATTTCTATTATTATTACGTTGTAAGATATAATGAAATAATTATACAACTCAGCATAATGTAGAATCAGTGGAGCCCTGCACTTGTTTTCCTGCAACTAGACGGTTCCATCTGGGGATGATGGGAAACACTGATGGATCATCAGGCATTAGATTCTCATAGGGAGCATGCAGCCTAGATCCCTCATATGCTCAGTTCACAATAGGGTTCACATAGCTATGAGTATCTAGTGCCGGCGCTGATCGGACAGGAGGCGGAGCTCAAGCAGTAATGCGAGTGATGGGGAGCGGCTGTCAATACAGATGAAGCTTCACTTGCTCACCCGCCTGCTGCTCCCCTCCTGCCGTGTGACGCAGTTTCCTAACAGGCTGTGCACCTGTGCTGGGGTTTGGGGACCTCTGCTGTACAGCAATTAAAAAAGAAGTAACAGTTCTATGTTTAGGAATGGATAAATCACAAGAACACGAAGTTGCAGGAGGACATAAACGGTTCGTGGCACACACGCATGTGTATATATCCTGTATATGGTTTAGAAATATGCAAAAAATGCTAAGCCTTCTTTATAGATCAATGGATATGTAGAAACATAACAAAGAAAACCTGGAATTGTATTAAAAAAATACAAACAAACAAAAAACCTTTTCCCAAACTAGGAGGAGGCTGAGAGACCAAAGAATGACTGAGACACGTCCAGCTTGGCAAGTAGATGAGTTTATTTGGACCTACATACAAGGCCTCCTGGGCAGTAGCAGGACAGCTTTAGAGACCTGCATTGCCTCCCATTTTCCCACTCTTTTTTTTTTTTTTTTGAGACGGAGTCTTGCTCTGTCTCCAGGCTGGAGTGCAGTGGCGTGATCTTGGCTCGCTGCAACCTCCGCCTCCTGGATTCAAGTGATTCTCCTGCCTCAGCCTTCTGAGTTGCTGGGACTACAGGCTCATGCCACCACGCCCAGCTAATTTTTGTATTTTTAGTAGAGATGGGGTTTCACCATGTTGGCCAGGCTGGTCTCGATCTCTTGACCTCGTGAACCACCCACCTTGACCTCCCAGAGTGCTGGGATTACAGGCATGAGCCGTGCCCGGCCACACTCTTGAGCTGCCTTTAAGCTAATTTTCTGGCTCTTTGCCCACTGTGTGAGTGATGGACTGTTTTTCTTGGTAGTTTCTTAGAAACCCTCCGGGACGCTTGGTTCTGAGGGACACCTGCTCCTCTGCTGGGCACTGTGGCCTTGGCTCATGGCCTGGCCTTCAGGGTTCAGGCAGCAGACACACACTCTTTAGTAACTTGGCTGGGGACCCATCACACTACAGAAAAGCATGAAAACAAACACAGCAATGACACGTGTCAAGTTCTGGAGAGAGAGGGAAAGGAGTCAAATCACAGGCATAGATGTATAAGAGGCTTCAACTGTATCTGTAATATTTCGTTTCTGAGAAAAAAATATCTGAAGCAAATTTGGCAAAAGGTTAAGATTTGCTAAAGCTGAACATTGAGCAGATGGGTGTTTGTTGTTATTCTCTTTACTCTTCTGCATATTTCTTTTTTTTTTTTTTTTTTTTTTTTGAGACAGAGTCTCTCTCAGTCACCCAGGCTGGAGTTCAGTGGCGCGATCTCGGCTCACTGCAAGCTCCGCCTCCCGGGTTCACCCCGTTCTCCTGCCTCAGCCTCCCTAGTAGCTGGGAGTACAGGCGCCCGCCACCACGCCCGGCTAATTTTTTTGTACTTTTAGTAGAGACGGGGTTTCACCGTGTTAGCCAGGATGGTCTCGATCTCCTGAGCTCGTGATCCGCCCACCTCGGCCTCCCAAAGTGCTGGGATTACAGGCGTGAGCACCGCGCCTGGTCTCTTCTGCATATTTCAAAGATGTCAGAATTGAAAAATAATAGTCACTGACTTAGCATGACAGAGAAACCTTCAAGCATAGATTTGCAAAGGGAGATACCTGTGGGAACCAAGCCACTAGAGTCACAGAATCTCAAGGAGGCAGCAAAACGGATTTAAAATTGGGCAGAATGTTGTGTGACAAAGCACGATCCACTGGGTGTTGTGTCTGTACATACACGGGACCTGGAAGGACACGGTCAACTGCAAACTGCTCGTGATTGTGGACGGCCTTGTTCTCTGCTTCTTGTGTTTTTCGGTTTCTTATAATGCACATATTAACTAAGAGTAATTAAATTATCCTAATTTCTATCACATTAATTTATATTAATTTAATTAATAAATTAATTAAAAATAAAGATTACTTTTAAAACCAGAAAAACATGGTTGGAAGAGAAAAACCAACCTTAAAATGTTTTTTGACATTTGGGACATAAACATTGCCTGAAATGAAAACATAAATAAATAAATGGAATATTGGGAAAGCTTGGTAAAAATTAAATTGCTATACATTCTACAAATTGCTAAAAGGAATAAAGTTTTGGCTAGGCGTGGTGGCTCACACCTGTAATCCTAGCACTTTGGGAGGCCGAGGCAGGGGGATCATGAGGTCAGGAGTTCGAGACCAGCCTGACCAACATGGTGAAACCTCGTCTCTCCTAAAAATAGAAAAATTAGCCAGGCTTGATGGTGCACGCCTATAATCCCAGCTACTCAGGAGGCTGAGGCACAAAAATCTTTTGAACCTGGGAGGCGGAGGTTAGAGTGAGCTGAGATCGTGCCACTGCACTCCAGCCTGGGTGACAGAGCGAGACTCTGTCTCAAAAAAAAAAGAAAAAAAAAAGTAATAAAGTTTTAGCGAGCAACATTGGTAAATTGCTATTAATAAATTTGTGCAGCCAGGCGCAGTGGCTCACACCTGTAATCCCAGCACTTTGGGAGGCCAAGGTGGGTAGATCACCTATGGCTAGATCACCAGCCTGGCTAACATGGTGAAACCAGTCTCTACTAAAAATACAAAAATTAGCCGGGCGTGATGGTGTGCACCTGTAGTCCCAGCTACTTGGGAGGCTGAGGCAAGATAATCGCTTGAACTTGGGAGGTGGAGGTTCCAGTGAGCCAAGATCACACCATTGCACTCCAGCCTGGGCGACAGAGCGAGACTCCATCTCCAAATAAATAAATAAATAAATATAAATTTGTGTTAACAATTTTATTTGGCAAATTGATACATGCTTAAATACCATTTATCTTTTAAGGTTCTGCTCAGATGACACCTGCTCCACAAAGTTCCTTGGACCCTCCCTCACCCGCAAATGCCCTCATGTGGCGTTCCTCCTGCACTTCCTTCAGCTGTTCTCATTTTCTATATGTTACAACTATTTAGAAAGGTCTCGGCTTCCTCACTGGGCCTAGATCCTTGAGGGCAGAGTTTTACTTGTCTATGCCGGCCTGTCAGTGTGGTGCTCATGGTGGGTTCTTAGTATCTGAAAAAGGGAAAGGAGGAGGAAGCTGGAACCCTAACTGGGGAAAGGATCAAATAACTAAAAATTCAGCTTCTTCTGGCCTGCAAAGTGTCAGGGATCTATAACTGTGAGTGCTCTGAGATTAGGCCACAGACTTTTGCTGTCTCAACATTTTCTCCTCTTGGGACATTTCCTTTGAGTTGATGTTCTGCCAGTTTCTACATTCAGGCTCAGCCTATGGTGCCAACCTGTCAGTGTGGTGCCAGCGAGGTGCTCTCAGAGGGAGCAAGGCAAGAAGAGGTGACGAGAGCCCCAGACACAGTCTCACACTGAGGCATGGGCAGCAGTAAATGAGGAGAGGCTGGGTGAGGACCAGAGGACCAGGAGTCCAGGCCAGGATGCGACACAGAAAAGGCAAGGGTTAGATGGGCAAGGTGTGACATCAGAGCCCGGCAAGAGGTCTCTGGCTGGGCTTTAGGGTCGCTACATTTGGCAAATACAAATAAAGAATGCCCTCACCTCACACCCTTTAGGATGGCTATTTGGGAAAACGAAAACATCAGATAGACGCGTTGGTGAGGACGTGGAGAAATGGAATCCTCGTGCACGGCTGGTGGGAGTGTAAAATGTGCAGCCAGCCTGGAAAACAGTCTGGCAGTTCCTCGAAAAATAAAACAGAGAATGGCTGTATGATTCAGCATCCCACTGCTGAGAATAGACCCACAAGAACCGAAAGCAGAGCCTCAAAGAGACCTTTGCACACCCGTGTTCACAGCAGCGTTCCTCACAGCAGCTACAGCGTGGAAGCAACCCAGAGTCCATCAACGAATGAATGGATAAGCAAAACGTGGCTCGATGGAACAGTCTTCAGTCTTACAGAGGAAAAAAATTCTGACACATCCTACAACATATGAATGAACCTTGAGGATATTACACTAAGTGAAATAAGCCAGTCACAAAAGGGCAAATACTGTGTAATTCCACTTATCTGCAGTGTTTAGAGGAGTCAAAATCACAGATACACAAAGTAGCATGGTGGTTGCCGGGGACTGGGGAGTTGGGGGAATGTAGAGTTATTGTTTAGTAGACATAAGGTTTCAATTTTACAAGATAAAAGAGCTCGAGAGGCCGGGCATGGTGGCTTGCGCCTGTATTCCCAGCCTTTGGGAGGCCGAGGCGAGAGGATCACTTGAGTCACGGAGCAGGAGACCAGCCTGGGCAACACAGCAAGACCCCATCTCTACTAAACAAATAAGCAAACAAACAAAGTTCTGGAGATGGATGGTGCTGATGGTTGCACACATCATGAATGTATTTAGTACCACTAACTGTACACTTGAAATTGGTTAAGATGGTAAACATTTTACATTATGTGTACAGTACCACAGTTTGAAAATTGGGAAAAAATGCAGTGCCCACAGTGAAATTTGAATTTTAAACACGAATAATTCTTTAGTATCATTATATTTCATGCAACATTGGGTATGTATGTATACTAAAAAACTATTCATTGATCTGAAATTTCATCAGGCATCCTGTATTATGTCTGGCAACCCGGACACAGGTCAGGGTTCTATAGTGAATGGTGATCATGATTCATACACAGGCTGAGGGAATTGTTCACAGAAGCGAGGAGAGGAGCAGAGAGGAGCTGGCTGTGAAGAGAGAGAATATATGTTCTTCCCATTTTCCTCTCCAGTCCTGGTAAATAAAACAACAGTCAAAATGTATCTACTGACTCTCCAGGCAAGTCAGCCACCCCAGCACTACTCATGTTTATCTCTTCAAGAGCACTTACTTGTTATTGGATGTTTATCTGCGACACGTCTGCCTCCCCCTTGAGGAGAAAGTAACCAAAGTTTTGAGTCAGAGATCTAGGCTGAAACAAGACTCTGAAACTTAAGGTGTGTGACTTTAGCAAGTTATTTATCGTCTGTGAGCCTCAGTGTTCCACGAATGTGAATACCATCAAGATATTCTAATAAATAAATCAAGTAATGTAGATAAAACACATAGCAGGTGCCCAGAAATATTAAGCACAACATCTCTGAAGACCTGGAGTGCAGGGACCCAGTCCTAACAGTACCCGCGCTGCAGAGTCCTAACAGTACCCGCGCTGCAGAGTCCTAATGAGAGGTGACAGCGTGCTGGCAGTCCTCAGAGCCCTCGCTTGCTCTCGGCCCGCCTCTGCCTGGGCTTCCACTTTGGCGGCACTTGAGGAGCCCTTCAGCCCCCCACTGCACTGTGGGAGCCCCTTTCTGGGCTGGCCAAGACCGGAGCCCGCTCCCTCAGCTTGCAGGGAGGTGTGGAGGGAGAGGCGCGAGCGGGAACCGGGGCTGCGTGCGGCGCTTGCGGGCCAGCTGGAATTCCGGGTAGGCGTGGGCTTGGCGGGCCCCGCACTCGGAGCAGCTGGCGGGCCCTGCTGGCCCCGGGCAATGAGGGGCTTAGCACCCGGGCCAGCGGCTGCGGAGGGTGTACTGGGTCCCCCAGCAGTGCCAGCCCACCAGCGATGTGCTCGATTTCTCACCGGGCCTTAGCTGCCTTCCCGCTCGGCAGGGCTCGGGACCCGCAGCCCGCCCTGCCTGAGCTTCCCACCCCCTCCGTGGGCTCCTGTGCGGCCCGGGCCTCCCCGACGAGCGCCACCCCCTGCTCCACCATGCCCAGTCCCATCGACCACCCAAGGGCTGAGGAGTGCGGGCGCACGCGCAGGACTGGCAGGCAGCTCCACCTGCAGCCCCAGTGCGGGATCCACTGGGCGAAGCCAGCTGGGCTCCTGAGTCTGGTGGGGACGTGGAGAACCTTTATGTCTAGCTCAGGGATTGTAAACACACCAATCCACACTCTGTATCTAGCTCAAGGTTTGTAAACACACCAATCAGCACCCTGTGTCTAGCTCAGGGTTTGTGAGTGCACCAATCGACACTCTGTATCTAGCTGCTCTGGTGGGGCCTTGGAGAACCTGTGTGTGGAAACTCCGTATCTAACTAATCTGATGGGGACGTGGAGAACCTTTGTATCTAGCTCAGGGATTGTAAACGCACCAATCAGCGCCCTGTCAAAACAGGCCTCTAGGCTCTACCAATCAACAGGATGTGGGTGGGGCCAGATAAGAGAATAAAAGCAGGCTGCCCGAGCCAGCAGCGGCAAGCCGTTCCGGTCCCCTTCCATTGTGTGGAAGCTCTGTTCTTTGGCTTTTTGCAATAAATCTTGCTGCTGCTCACTGGGTCCACGCTGCTTTTTATGAGCTGTAACACTCACCACAAAAGTCTGCAGCTTCACTCCTGAAGCCAGTGAGACCACGAGCCCAGCGGGAGGAACAAGCAACTCCAGATGCGCCGCTTTAAGAGCTGTAACACTCACCGCGAAAGTCTGCAGCCCACCAGAAAGAAAAAACTCCGAACACATCCGAACATCAGAAGGAACAAACTCCAGACGCGCGCCCTTAAGAGCTGTAACACTCACCGCGAGGGTCCGCGGCTTCAGTCTTGAAGTCAGTGAGACCAAGAACCCACCAATTCCAGACACACTAACAGTACCCGCGCTGCATATTCCATGGAGGAGGGGCTGAGTCAAAGGAATGTGAGTGCTATATTGATTGCCTAGACTAGGGCTCTACATGTTCCATTCTTGCTGCTAGTCATGATTATGATGGGAAAAGAGGTAAGAAGACCTCAATCATAAATTGTGCACCAGCCACTTCTGATAAGGTCTTGGAAGGCAGATGCATAGAAGACAAGGCTGTGCCACTTTCCTTCACTATAGCATGCGTTTCTTTATGGGCAGGGAAGCTGCAGGCAACGGTGTTTTTTTGTTTTGTTTTGTTTTTGTTTTTGTTTTTTGAGACTGAGTCTCACTGTCGGCCGGGCTGGAGTGCAGTGGTGCGATCTTGGCTCACTGCAACCTCCGCCTCCCAGCTTCAAGCGATTCTCCTTCCTCAGCCTCCTGAGTAGCTGGGATTACAGGTGCCCACCACCATGCCCGGCTAATTTTTGTATTTTTAGTAGAGACAGGGTTTTGCCATCTTGGCCAGGCTGGTTTCGAACTCCTGACCTCAGGTAGTCCAACTGTCTCAGCCTCCCAAAGTGTTGGGATTACAGGCATGAGCCACCACGCCCGGCCAGTGAATAGTTTAACTCATCGTGGGGGTTTCTAAGTGAGGGACTTGGGTGTGATTTCATGACAACTGGTCATGAAATCAGGGGACGCCTATGTTTTTGTGCAGGGAGAGGAGGCCTGCGGGTGCGTAGGTCCTCTTAAGCCCCTCTGGGTTCCATCTTCCTACAAGAGATCCTTTTCAACCAGGCGCAGTGGCTCACGCCTGTAATCCCAGCATTTCGGGAAGCCAAGGCGTGTGGATCACCTGAGGTTGGGAGTTTGAGACCAGCCTGACCAACATGGAGAAAGCCTGTTTCTACTAAAAATACAAAATTAGCTGGGCATGGTGGCGGGCATCTGTAATCCCAGCTACTTGGGAGGCTGAGGCAGGAGAATCGCTTGAACCTGGGAGGCAGAGGTTGCAGTGAGCCGAGATTGCGCCATCGCACTCCAGCCCGGGCAACAACAGCGAAACTCCATCTCAAAAAACAAACAAAAAACCAAGAGAGATCCCTTTCTATCTGTCTCAAAACCCACAGCTCTAAGTGTCACTCTGTGAGAAGCAGAGCATTTCACTTGGGTGTCACGGCAGAGGATTTGAATTCCGTTGCCATCCTTGCCCTAAAATACTTCATTTCACCTCATCACCAAACTCCCTTCCAGGCTGGGACCCTCAGTTCATTTTAGTATTCCAAAAGTAACCAAAATTAAGCTCTGGGTGTGTAGGAAAGGAGTCCAGTGAAAGATATGAACATAATTCCCACAAGAGAGGGAGAAACTTATTACCCTCATTTTTCATGCTTAAAATAAGCAGGCAGTGAGCTGCTGGGTGTGAATGATTTCGTGTCAGCTAAACAAAAAACAGATCACCAAGCTGGTTTTCCTCTGAGTTTCAAACCTCACCATTCTTTAGTCTCTCCCTTAAAACAGAGAAGAGAAGGACGAGGTAAGAAGTACAGTTTCTTCAAGACCCAAAAGACCTGAGCTTTCTCTTCTTGCCCTTGATTTAGCAAACCAGCTCCTGCTCAGACACAGCCCCTGACAGCGCAGGTAGTGTCTGTTGCTTCTCAGGGCAGAGGCTGGGCAAGGCACCACCCTGAGTCTTACACCGAGACGCTGTGCTCCCCCTCTGGGTGGCTGTCTTGCTGTGAGTCTCCAGTACTTGATGGGGTTACCTTGCTCTCCCCTCTGTATCTTTTTTCCTCTTCACTCCTTTCAGCCTCCTTTGTCGTTTTTCTTCTGGGGAGTCCTCAAATGTGCTATTCCTCATATGGCCAAACTTTGGGGGTGGGAGGAAGCATGTTTATTAGTGTCTTCCTGCAGTACCCATTCTCTCTTCTTTATGACTTCCCTCCCCCTCATCCCCCAGCCACAGAGTCGTAGGGCTGAGACCCCAGTGGCATCCTAGGTACCGTGTGAGCCCACTCCCCATCCCATGGCCATAGCTGATTGGACCAGTAGTAGGAATTGGAGTCTATCTGAGACCCCGAGGTGATCTCTTGGATGGAGGGGAGAAGTGTGGGTGGCCATTTTTCACAACGTGGACTATGTAGAAGAGGAAGTTTGGGGAAAGAATGAAGAAATGTCTCGGGAATAAGGAAGAGGTGGTATTCCCAGGCTCCTGATGGCTTTCCATTGCTTTGTCCAACTTCCTCATGAAAAACAAGGCATTCCTGCTATTGATCTCTGGGAGCCAGCCCTGTATCTCTAAAATAAACTTATTTTGCTTGTACTACCTCAGGTTCTGTTGCTTTGAATATTTTTAAATGTTTCCTAAATTTTAAAACATTTCCTATTTTAAAATGTTTCCTATTCTTAATTTTAGAACCAGATGAATGGAATGTTTTATATTTCACCACAATTTTTTTTTTTTTAGTGACTAAAATTGCTTTTCTTCCATGGTTGGCTCCTAATGATACTTACCTATTATAGAACAGTTCAGTAATAATAATGAGAAATACAGTGAATACTTACTACACTCCTGGCACTGTTCTAAGTGGCTCAATGTGCGTTTCATGTAATGCTCACATCACCTTTTAAAGTAAGTAGCACGATTCCCCCCGCCCCCCATTTTACAGATAAGGGAACTGAGGCTTGGAGGGATCAAATGTCCCACCCAGGGTCACAGAACTAGTAAGTGGTAGAACGTGGGTTTGAATTCATGACCCCAGAATCCATGCCCCTAACCACTACACTAAGTACTTTACAAACACTGGGTTACGAATGCAACCTGACAAAGACCTTCCAACAAACCTTAACACCTTAAAACTGTTCCTGGCCTTTCCCATGGTTCCGGCGAACAACCAAACACAAAATCAAAGTTGCCTCCAGAAAGAAATAGAATTGGTAGAGAGAAAAATTAAAAGGTGTGTTTCCTAGGGTTGCCACAGCAAAGTACCACAAAGTTGGTGGCTTCAACGACAAAAATGTATCGTCCCTTGCCGGGCGCAGTGGCTCCCGCCTGTAATCCCAGCACTTTGGGAGGCCGAGGCAGGGGGATCACCTAAGGTCAGGAGTTCAAGACGAGCCTGACCAATATGGTGAAACCGCGTCTCTACTAAAAATACAAAAATTAGCCGGGCATGGTGGTGGGCGCCTGTAACCCCCGCTACTCAGGAGGCTGGGACAGGAGAATTGCTTGAACCCGGGAGGCGGAGCTTGCAGTGAGCCAAGATTGCACTACTGCACTCCAGCCTGGGCGACAGAGCGAGACTCCGTCTCAAAAAAAAAAAAAGAAAAAAGTATCGTCCCACAGTCCTGGAGGCTAGAAGTCTGAGATGAAGGTGTCAGCAGGGCTGGTTTCCTCTGAGGGTGGTGCGGAAGAATCTGCTTCGCGCCGCTGCCCGGTTTCTGTTGGTTTGCTGGCAGTTTTTGGCACTTGGCATCTGCTGGATGGCCCTGATCGCTGCCTTCATCTTCACATGGGATCCTCCCTGTGTGCATGTCTGCGTCTAAATCTCTTTTTCATAAGGATACCAGTTATCTTAAATTAGGGACCCAGTCTTTTCTGGTATGACCTCATCTTAACTAGTAACATCTGAGATGACCCCATTTACAAATAAGGTCACATTCTGCGGTACTGGAGGATTTCAACATATAAATTTTCAAGGGGATGCAACTCAGCCCATGACATTAGGTTTTATTGTTTCTTTCCTGTAGCAATTTTCAATCATTATATCTCCTTTTATCAGAGATAAGAAGTTTGATTTTAAGATGTGACAAACCACAGGTGCAGCTGCTCAGCTTTGGTTAGGCACCCAAATGTCATTGCCACTCCGATATAGGAAGGACCAAAGCACTAATTCCTGAAAGAATCCTGATAAGGACACCTCTTTTTTTTTTTTTTTTTTTTTTTCCTGAGACGGAGTCTCACTGTGTGGCCCAGGCTGGAGTGCAGTGGCACCATCTTGACTCACTGCAACCTCTGCCTCCTGGGTTCAAGCGATTCTCCTGCCTCAGCCTCCCGAGTAGCTGGGATTACAGGCACCCACCACCACACCCAGCTAATTTTTGTATTATTAGTAGAGCTGGGGTTTCACCATGTTCGCCAGCCTGATCTTGAACTCCTGATCTCATAATCTGTCCGCCTTGGCCTCCCAAAGTGCTGGGATGGCAGGCGTGAGCCACCGCACCCGGGCTAGAACCTCTTTTAAATGACAGCCTCACTTTAGCTCACTAAGGGCCATAGAAAGACCCACAGAAGAGACAGTCTTGCCTTAGGTGCTCACTCTGGCACTGCCATCACCTTGCTCTTGGTCTCTAGAGCTAGAGCTCTTTTTTCTCATACAATTTTCCTGGTTATAAACCAGAGATTTTTGCCTGGCACGGTGGCTCACGTCTGTAATCCCTGCACTTTGGGAGGCCCAGGCGGGTGGATCACAAGGTCAGGAGTTCGAGACCAGCCTGACCAACATGGTGAAACCCCGTCTCTACTAAAAATACAAAATTTAGCTGGGCATGGTGGCACTTGCCTGTAATCCCAGCTACTCAAGAGGCTGAGGCAGGAGAGTCGCTTGCAGCCAGGAGGCAAAGGTTCCAGTGAGCCAAGATCGCGCCACTGTATTCCAGCCTAGGCAACAGAGTGAGACTCCGTCTCAAAAAATAAAATAAATAAAATAAAATAAAATAATCAAATCGTAACATAAAATAAACCAGAGATTTTTGCCTCCACTTGAGGCTGCTCAAATGTCATTCCTGAATGGTGGTCTCCTAGTTCAGGGGAGAAGTACCTGGAGACTTAAAAACAAACAAAAGGCTGGGTGCGTTGGCTCACACCTGTAATCCCAGCACTTTGGGAGGCCGAGGGGGGTGGATCACGAGATGAGGAGATTGAGACCATCCTGGTTAACACGGTGAAACCCCGTCTCTATTAAAAATGCAAAAAATTAGCTGGGCGTGGTGGCGGGCGCCTGTAGTCCCAGCTACTTGGGAGGCTGAGGCAGGAGAATGGCGTGAACTCGGGAGGCGGAGCTTGCAGTGAGCCGAGATCGGGCCACTGCACTCCAGCCTGGGAGAGAGTGAGACTCTGTCTCAAAAAAAACCAACAACAAAAACAAACAAACAAAACTCCACTCTACTACTCCATGGAATTTAATTTGCTAGGGCATCTTATTTATTTATTTGAGAAGGAGTTTTGCTCTTGTTGCCCAGGCTGGAGTGCAATGGCTGGATCTCAGCTCACTGCAACCTCCCCCTCCCGAGTTCAAATGATTCTCCTGCCTCAGTCTCCCGAGTAGCTGGGATAACAGGCACGCGCCACCACACCCGGCTAATTTTTGTATTTTTAGTAGAGACGGGGTTTCTCCATGCTGGTCAGGCTGGTCTCGAACTCCCGACCTCAGGTGATCCGCCTGCCTCGGCCTCCCAAAGTGCTGGGATTACAGGCGTGAGCCACCGCGCCCGGCTGCATCTTATCTTTTAAAAGCTTCCCACATATAGGCTATCTTGATTGTGATGGATATATACATACATCAAAGCTTATCAAATTGTGCACTGGTAAATAGGTATAGCTTGTTTGATGTCAGTTATTATCTCAATAAAGCTAATTTAAAGAAATAAAAAACTCCCCAGGTGATTCTAGTGGGCATCCCAAAATGAGAAGCATTGAGCTAGGTCAGCCTCAGCAACAGCCCCAGGAAGGAAGACATCTGCTCCGGAATCGCGTCGTGACCAGCAGCGCCCCCAGGACTTAGACCGCATGAGTCCTGTGCTGTTGATCCAGTGGTCTTGCCTCAAGACCAAAATGATAGAACATTGCTGAGCTTCTCCCAAAATTAAAAAGAGGCACCTAAAAATTTTGAACTGAGGCTGGGCGCGGTGGCTCACGCCTGTAATCCCAGCACTTTGGGAGGCCGAGGCGGGCAGATCACGAGGTCAAGAGATCAAGACCATCCTGGCTAACACGGTGAAACTCCATCTCTCCTAAAAATACAAAAATTAGCCGGGCGTGGTGGCGGGCGCCTGTAATCCCAGCTACTCGGGAGGCTGAGGCAGGAGAATGGCTGGAACCCGGGAGGCGGAGGTTGCAGTGAGCCGAGATCACACCACCGCACTCCAGCCTGGGCGACAGAGCGAGACTCTGTCTCCAAGAAAAAAAAAAAAAATTGAACTGCTAGGATTGTTATTCAGAGGTGTGGGGTATGTAAGGAAAAGAAAAATCCCGAAACAACAAAACACCCCCGCAGCCTTTAGTTGGCAGAGTCACGGTTTAGAAGGCAGTTGGTTGTCCTTTGGGGGTATTGCAGGCCCGCCTCCCTCGCTCTACCCGCTGGGCTGTGGAGCCCGTACGGCCAGTGAGGAACGCGGCACACCAGCAGCTCTCTCATCCAGCTGGCTGCCGATCTCCTTAACTCCAGGCTCACTAGTTCCAACTGCCTTTTCTGTATTTCCACCTCCGATTTAACATGTTCAAAACCGCACTCGTTACCCTCACCCCCCAATCTTTTTTTTTGAGACAGAGTCTCGCTCTGTCACCCAGGCTGGAGTGCAATGGCGCGATCTCGGCTCACTGCAAGCTCCGCCTCCTGGGTTCCCGCCATTCTCCTGCCTCAGCCTCCCGAGTAGCTGGGATTACAGGCACCTGCCACCACAACCGACTAATTTTTGTATTTTTAGTAGAGGCGGGGTTTCACCACGTTGGCCAGGCTGGTCTCGAACTCCTGGCCTCAGGTGATCTGCCCACCTCAGCCTCCCAAAGTGCTGGGATGACAGATGTGAGCCACTGCGCTCGGCCCCTCACCTCCCAATCTATTCCTCCTTTTCAATACCCTTTCTTAATAAGCAGTACCTTATAAATGTCTGCACCAAAAAGCTTCTCACTCTTGACATACAAATGGTGTCCACATGTGTTCCTGCATTCTCTTAAATACATCCCTCCTCCATCTTTAGTCACCTTAGTTTAGGTCCTCATCATTTTCTGCCTAGACCTCCTGACTCCCACCTTTCAGATATTGGTTTTTGTAGCTAATCATGCCCCTGCTGAAAACTTTTGAATGGCTTCCCCCATGAAAAAATAGACAAAACCCAAACTATTTGGTATGGCAATTATAATCCAGACGCAATTTCCCTGTTCCATGCCCTCCCCCACCACTTGTCCAGCATGGTTCCAGACATAGCGGACCTATCTGTGCCTCCGTATCATAGCACGTCCTATCCCACTTGCCTGGAACAGTGGATTTATCCTCATTAGCTCCCACCTACTATCTTCTAAGCTCAGCTTAAACATCGCCCCAGGTTAACTATTCCCTCTCCTATGCCACCCTGGACCTCACCTGTAATTTCGTTAAAGCAGTTACCTCAGTTTCACAGTAGTCTGTTTCCACATTTGCTTTCACAGAAGCTTGTCAGCAACTTCGATTTTTCCTTCTCATCTTTCCATCTCTAGTACCTGGTAAAAGCCTGCTAGATAACGGATGTTAGAAAATAATTTGATGAATGATCTTTCCTGCCTTTTTCATTCTGTCTACATTACCAAGTGGATGACTAGTAGCTGGGTGGGCAGGGAGATCCTTCAAAATTTCAGAAGCTCAACTATGGCCATGTAAAACCTAGAGTGGCCTCCGTGACTCCGTCGGCACTGAAGTTCCTGTAGGCTGTGCTCAGAAGGGTGGATTGCGCTGGGCTTTGCCACCAGTCTCTGCTCAGAGCAGTGTCTTTGCTACCAACATGTCTTTTAGCAAAGTAACCATCTGTCCGTGCTATTCTGGGCAATTGGATCATGAACTACATCACTCTTTGGCCTACTGAGGGGTTAGAGATGTCATCAACAACTCTCATTGCAACCTTAAGCCTCCTTTCCTTCCAAGGTGAAGATGACCAACAAGGGGGCACAGATCAATCATATGCTCTTTAAACATGGGTTGGGAATATGAACAAGTTAGCTATATTAAAATAAACAAAGATATCTGGTCTGTTCCCACTACAATATGCCTCTAATGAATCTAACTTGAGACGCTAGAATTTTAATACATTATTTCAGGGAGACTTTCTTAAGGGAGCTATGACCTCAAAACCATTACTTGATTTTATCCCCATTTTATTTATACAGGAAAGGGGGCAGAAATATAACATGGTGTACAAGTATCATATCATATCATAGACAGGACTTGACTTCTCTAATCTTTTCTTAATGTTTTCCTGCCTTAAACAGAAATTAAACACTATCAACAGGGTGACCTAAGGAAACTCCCCAAATGATTCCTACTTCTTGAGCCACTCATCATGAAATCCTACATACAAAAGCTGAATAACAATCTTAAATCTTAAAGGGCTACTTCTTTCAGCAAACTATTATTCTGAAGACTAGAGAACATGTTGCTCTCAACAGTATTTTAGTGAACACATTAAATAAGAAGCAAACAGTTCGAGGGAGGATCCAAAAAAGAAATCAGGACAACAGACTGGTAAAGCTGTCTCTGGCGTCTCTTTCCACTAAACAAAGCGGCAAATACAGAACATTTACACCTATTTTTCTTTTATAAAATTTAAATGCTTTGGGCTGGGCACGGTGGCTCATGCCTGTAATCCCAGCACTTTGGGAGGCCGAGGCACACGGATCACCTGAGGCAGGGGTTGCAATGAGCCGAGAGCACATCAACTGCTCTCCAGCCTGGGTGACAGAGCAAGACTTTGTCTCAAAAAAAAAAAAAAAAAAAAAAAAAAAAAAAAAAAAAAAAAAAAAATTAAAATGCTTTGAACTTTAACATATCAGCCAACTTGTTTAGCAACATCATCAACTGATTCTCTTTTAAGCTTTTGGATCACAGGAGCCGTGTATTCAGCCAGTTCAGGAATAGCATGCCTGTCTCTCATAATTCTTGGCAAACAACTGCATTATCAAACAAATGTCAGCAGGAGGGTGGGGTGGGGGGCGGTAGAGGCAATTGGGAAATAAGACCCTAGTGAATTACTGTTCTCTGTCCACTTTCCATTCTAAACATGGGGAATGTGGATTCTATTATTAAAGCCATGGAATTTATAGGTAAATTCCATCACCACCTCTGGCTATTAAGGCACCCCAATTTTTCTTTCTAACCAATGTGTAAAAAATGTCTTTAAATGTAAGCAATCACAGGTGGTTAATGTTTAACTTTTTATTAAGAAACTAAGGCAAAACAACAGAATTCCAAAAAATAAAGATACAGAATTCTAATTTAAATTCTAAACAAATATAAAAATCAGAGTTTACCAGTATTTTTGAGTAGAGGGGAGTGGCTAAATGCATTCACAGTAATTATTTCTTCCTTACCAGCCTCAAGTTTGCAACCCTTTCCTTCCTGCTTCACTGGGACTAGAACAGAATTTCTCATTCATCTTTTGCTACTATAATTTTTGCTTCTATAGTCTAAAACTTCAGAGGAGCTTTTGTCTTTCTCCGCAGTTCTTTCTCTGTTCCTTCAGCAAATATGTGAGCACCTGCCTATTGGGCTTACATGTTGTGGCACAAAGATGAGTCCGTTAGAGATCCTGTCCCAGTTTAGGGGCGATATGACACCAATAAATAATCAATAAATAATTTTAAACAAGGTATAAATAAATACAGCATGAGTCAACTATAGATATATAAAACTAGGGAAATTTCAAGGAGAGATTACATTCAGCTAGAGAAACTGAGGAATGTTTTTGAGGACAGCATTTGGGCTGGGTGTGGGCTGTTCCTAATAAAGGCTTCCAAGTGGTCCTGATTATCTACCACAGTCCCAATTGTGGAACTGTGGTGGTCTCAATTTCTGGAAAGTAATCTTTTCAATGCTAACCTTTAAAACTCCTTAAATTTCTGGCCTGGCACGGTGGCTCGCGCCTGTAACCCCAGCACTTTGGGAGGCGAGGTGGGTGGTGTTGGCCAGGAGTTCAAGACCAGCCTGGCCAACATGGCATAAACCCCCTCTACTAAAAATACAAAGATTAGGCCCGGGAACAGTGGCTCATGCCTGTAATCCCAGCACTTTGGGAGGCTGAGGTGGGTGGATCACAAGGTCAGGAGTTCGAGACCAGCCTGGCCAACATGGTGAAACCCCGTCTCTATTAAAAATACAAAAATTAGCCAGGCATGGTGGCAGGTGCCTGTAATCCCAGCTACTCGGGAGACTGAGGCAGGAGAATCACTTGAACCCGGGAGGCAAAGGTTGCAGTGAACTGAGATCACACCACCGCACTCCAGCCTGGGCAACAGAGCAAGACTCCGTCTAAAAGAAAAAAGAAAAAAATTAGCCAGGTGTGGTGGCACATGCTACTCGGGAGGCTGAGGCACGAGAATTGCTTGAACCTGGGTGGCAAAGGTTGCAGTGAGTCAAGATCGTGCACTCCAGCCTGCGTGACTCTGTCTCCAAAAAAGAAACACACACACCACTCCCTAAGTTTCTATCTCTTCAAATTACTCACTTCTTCAAAATAACAAAAAAAAATTAATATTAATATGACAATCTACATAGTTTGGGGATTTAAAAGTTAAAGCTGGGTATAGTGGCATACACCTGTAATCCCAGCTACTTGGGAGGCTGAGGCAGGAAGACTGCTTGAGCCCAGGAGTTCAAGACCTGCCTAGGCAGTAGAGTGAAACCCTGTCTCCAAAAACAAACAAAAGTTCATTATACAGTAGTAGTTTCTTTATGGTTTAGGGCTCTGCTATTTTTGAAACTCTTTCTCCAGTCAAATAATTCTAAAAGGCAGAAAATGCCTAATCACTGAACAATGATTTTAAATATTAACTGGGTAAATCTTACTTTCTTTTGGTGTCTTATTGAATCCATATCTACACTTTATGTGAATGAGGGAGATGAAATAAATGGCTTAACATTTAAGTCAAATAATGAGAAAATAATGGCAACTATGAAATGACATTAACCACAAATTCCTTGTATGAAAAGATTTAATGAATTATGAGCCATTGATCATTACAAACTTTAAGCCTTAATATTTCTTCTTTCCTATGTAAAACCAGGTAATTAAAACAGCCTGTCTCAGTATGACAGAAGACCATAGTAGGGATAATAGTAACGTCTGCTTCCACATCTGCATGCTTCGTTAACCAACCAAAGAAAGTGCTCCAGGTTTCCCAAGTCAACAAAGTATACTCAGTTACACTTTCCCTGATCATACTATGAATTGAAACAGAACACTCCTTTGACTTTTAATAGCACTTTTCATCCACGGCACAAGCACTTTCCCATTATTTTCTCCTTTACCCTCAATATCCTTGTGAGGTAGTGAAGGGAGGGAGCAAGGATTTTTTTTTTTCTATTTTGCAGATGAGAAAACTCAAGGTGAATTTTACAACAGTGGTTCTCAACCTTGGCAGCATATTGAAATGACC
The DNA here is from genome assembly GCF_000001405.40 of Homo sapiens. NCBI lineage: Eukaryota > Metazoa > Chordata > Mammalia > Primates > Hominidae > Homo > Homo sapiens. Next base: position 196,586,825 of record NC_000003.12, on the reverse strand, counting down.
AGAAAGTTTTTAAAAATCCTTATGACCAGCTCATATTCCAGACCAACATCAGAATCTTGGCATACGGAACCCAAGCATCGATGTGTCTTCCAACATTCCAAAGTGACTACAAAGTGTATACAGCCAACACTGAGAACCACTGGTTTGAATGATTTACACTCAATCTTCAGGCGCAACTGTCTTCTACCGAAATGCTCTCCTCAGCACCAATGACAAAGATATTCCATCTCCTTGAGCACTGCAGCAGTTTAAGATTTTGTAGAGCTACTACTGGGTTTTAGTGACAAATTTACGTAAATGAAGGCCCTCATGACCCAGATGCTCATGCTGCTCACTTCAATTGCATATGATTTGCGAATGGGACATTCGGGAATTTAAATCTTTGAGATAAGAATGGCTTGTTGTTAAATATTGAGGCAATTATTTCATTCTAGGTCCAATACGCAATAACCATGTGTTTCGGTTTTCCACTCAGCACCTTCAAAACTGTTGCAAATGAATGTTTACTAACAAGACAAAAGAGACAATTATAAACCAAACTCTCAACAAAATTCGGAATGGCCACATCACAACCTGAAAAAGAAACAAGTACTTAAAGGACTTGATCACTTCCTAACAAGTCCATCTTCAACCTGAACCACTTCTCTTGTTTAATCAAATTTTAAACTTTGCCGAACTGAGTTGTTCTACACCAAGAAAAATCAATTTCTATACCACCTACATTCTCTAATACATTTAACATATAATTTCACTCAATACAAGGAGGTTTCTTCTTAACCTGGACATCGAAAAGAATCTTTAACAGATTTCATCTTTTCAAGCAATGTATCAAATACACAATAAATACTTGTAAACTTTTCAGGTGGCAACAATAAATCTTTGTTCTATGGCTGAAATCCCTTGCTTCACAGGAGTATTGACAATCTTAACTCCCAAGGAGCAATCCAAGAATCCCGGCCAGCTGCTGGGTGTCCCTAATCAGATTTAAAACAAAACATACATACAGCAAGAACTCAGAAGTACAAAGATTTCGCTCGCTTTTGTCAATTCTTATGTATCTAAAACCATACAATTTATACTTTCATACAGAAAGATGTCTGTTTCTTTTCTAACAAAAGAAAAACTCTCAGCTCATGTGGGTTGGATTATTAATTCAAAAGCATTTTAGTGATGAGAAACAAGATTTGTAAGTCAAAATAGGAGTTAATGTTAAACTCTTCTACAACGAAACCTTCAAATATTGCCAACCTGAAGTTTTCAGCACAAGGTGTTGTATTTCAAGTCCCATGGGGGCAATTATCTATAATGAGATTAAGAATATTCTTAACCTGTTTCAGCTGGGTAAGTAAACGTTTTCTTTATAGCCCCAATAACGAGTTTGAGGCTTAGATTAGTTGCATGATGTAAACAATATGAAATTAAAATTTTTTTGATAATATCTACAGCATTTATAAGGTTACAAAATAAAAGGACCATTAATCAATTCTTTTTTTCCTAGGCTCTATGACTAATAGCTTTCATATTTGAGGCCTACAAGAGCAAATGGCAATGTTCTGTGTTATGAGACACTTTCTTAGAAGGCCAAAAATAAAACTGGATACCAAAAGATACACATTACTATTATGTTGAGATCATCCTTACTGATATATGTATAATTAGAAATAGATTTGCCTTCCTTCAATCTTTAGCCAGGAGACTGAGAGATCTTTACTATGATTTTGAGAGTAAAAACAAAAACAAACCAGACTCTAACAGCTATGGGAACTGTAAGCCAAAAATAATACAAAATGAGTCAATACAACACATCTCCTCTTAAAATCCTCTTCTTTGTAGTTAACCCAGTTGTCCCCAAATGTTATTCCAATTTTGTAACCATGTAGTGGTTTTTAAGAAATTAGAACTAGAACAAAACAACCTGTTTGTCCTTTCTTTTTTACAGTTTTTTTTTTTTACACACATATTATATACAACTTTTAAAATAGCTGCACAATTTTATATCTCACTTTTAGAGAAGTGCAGTCCAGGCAGACCATGCTTCTCAATATATTAAAAATATTAAATAAAACCCAACCAGTTTCATACTTTTCTAATAGTCAAGCTGGCTGGAAAAAAAAGGACTGGAGAAAGAACAGGCAGTTGTAAAATGGGATCAGTCTTCACAAACACACTACTTAAAAATCTTGCTATTTCCTTATCCCTTTGACAGCATCTCTACAATCTCACCTTTAAAGCTGGAAATAACACATTGCTAACTTAGAGACAACATCGGGTGCAACATGCATATGTCAACTGCCCACTCAACCAACTGCAACCCTGAGGATTTTTCTGGCCCAGTAGAAAGAGGAAACACGAAGATAATCTCTGCTGTAGAGCTGCTTCTCCAGTTTACGACTTCATGTGTTTTCAGGATGTTTCTTGGACATGCATGTGTGACAGTCACTTCATGGTTCTACTTCCCATAAGCAGATCTCTCCTCCATTCTGTCTGTCATCACAAGAAAGCCACTGTCATCCGTCCAAAGGTTTTCCAAGGTAAACCAAAGTCACTTCTGTGTTGCCATATACAGCAGAAACTGCTGGGTATAAGCAGACCTTTGGAAGTCCTCTAAAAGCAACCCCCAGGAACTCATATCCACGTTCAAAAGCTAAAGTCTTATCTTCCATGTCCAAGATGACTCGAATTCTTTCTCCTATCTGCAAACAGATATCAAAAGGTTAGAAGAAAATCTGCCAAGGGTGTAGCTAGAAGAAACAAGACACAAATCAAGAAGTTGAAAATATTAAGAATATTATCCTGAAAGCTATCTAGAAAAATCAGAAGGGAAGCTTTCTAGTCAGGAAGAAACATCTATAAAAAAAGGACATACATCTGGCCGGGCATAGTGGCTCATGCCTATAATCCCAGCACTTTGGGAGGCTGAGGCGGGCGGATTGCTTGAGCCCAGGAGTTCAAGACCAGCCTGGGCAACATGGTGAAAACCCATCTCTATTAAAAATACAAAAATTAGCTGGGTGTGGTGGCGCAAAGCTGGTATCGCACCACTGCCCACTGCACTCCAGCCTAGGTAACACATCACAAATGCTTACTTTGATAGTTTTGTTTTTAAGACTCACATGGAATCTACACTTAATTACTTACAATTTAAATGTTCCACCTGAACACTACCTAGATTGATTTTATTTACTCTTTGTTTAAAGGTTTTTCTTAAGGTTAACACTAAAATCTATAACTTGGCATATTTTACCAAAAAGAGCAATCTAAATCAGCTTCTCAAATTACTATACTATACATACAACGGAACTTTTTTTTTTTTTTTTTTTGAGACGGAGTCTTGCTCTGTCGCCCAGGCTGGAGTGCAGTGGTGCAATCTCAGCTCACTGCAAGCTCCGCCTCCCGGGTTCATGCCATTCTCCTGCCTCAGCCTCCCCAGTAGCTGGGACTACAGGTGCCCGCCACCACGCCCGGCTAATTTTTTGTATTTTTAGTAGAGACGGGTTTCACCGTGTTAGCCAGGATGGTCTCCATCTCCTGACCTCGTGATCCACCTGCCTCAGCCTCCCAAAGTGCTGGGATTACAGGCATGAGCCATCGCGCCCGGCCGTACAATGGAATATTATTCAGCCATAAACAGAAATGAAATTTTGATATATGCTACAACATAGATAGACCCTGAAAATATTATGCTAAGTGAAATGAGCCAGACACAAAAGGCTAAATGGTATGATTCCACCTATATAAAGTATCTAGAATACTCAAATATATATAGTTGTAGAGCAGAGTTTACCAGGGGTGGGGAGTGAAGGAAATAGGGAATGAACATAATAGAGATTATGTTGGGGTGAGGAAAAAGTTTTGGGTATAGAGAGAGGTGTGTGAATGTATTTAATGCCACTGAATTGTATACTTACAAATGGTTAAAATAATAAATATGTATGTTTCACCACAATTTTAAAAATCACCTTAGTAAGACACACAGCTTTTAAAGTTTACAAAGCAGTTCCACATGTAATGTGGAATCATGAATAATCCAATCTGGCTACAAATTCTAATGTAGAATATAGAATAGGCTTATTAAACAATTTGTGGTTCACAACTCTGAAACACCTGTTTGTTATAAAAAACAGCAGCACTGATTATTAAACGAAACTGGAAGCAGAATATATCCAGTTTTTTCCCATTTGGAAAAGTAAGCAAAAAAAAAAAAAGGATGTTTCATCTTTTTAGTTTGCCTTTATAAAAAGATGTTGCATCTACAAAATTGGAAACAGAAAGTCCTAATGTTTGCAATCAAAATTTAATTCTACCTGATTATAACCCCTACTATTGTCATTTACTTTCCTTCACTGTATTTCCTGTTAACAGTAACTGCCAACATCTGCTTTTTTCCTCCCTTTGCCCACCTCACAGATTAACCCACACCTCATTTTATGGATCTAAGAACCTCCAAATCATCATCACCACCACTCCTACCAACAAAATATTAACAAAGTAGAAATGAAAAGCTAATTTTGTTGGGTATTTGTGTTGTGTCGTATTTGTATTATCCCATTTAATCCTCACACTAATCCTAGGAACTATCCCTATTTTACAGAAGTTGAAACTAAGTAACGATTACTCCTGGTGAAATCTGCAAATCTGCTTCACCTTTGAGCACACAGCACGCACAAAGCCCAGGGTGGAGAAAGCGAAGTCTTACCATCTTTAGGTGCTGGGGTAAAACGTGGGGAGATGGCAGAGCAACTGGAAACTTAGAGGAGGAACTCCAGAAGCAACAGAACCACAGAAAGGATGAACCCCAAAATCTGAGAATTAACTTCCCAAATCCCTGAGTGACCACTATATTACAAAGGCACAGGGTAAACCTCCAGGACTAAAAAAGCAGCAAAGCTGAAAAAACTGAGCAGACATTAGCTGCCACACATCACATGAGACAGAGTTTATAGTTTGAGTATAGGCAAGTTAACTGCCTACTAAAACAAGAAAACCTATACTTTTCAGAGAATAAAGCAGTTTCTAGAAACAAAACATTCAGGAGTTACTACTACATATTATCTACACATCTAGGTTTCAGTTAAAAAAATTACTAGATATGAAAAGAAACAGGAAAGCGTGATTCATATTTAGGGGAAAAAAGCAATCAACAGAAGCTGAATCCAAGTGGTCCTAAGTGTTGGATTTGGTAAAGACTTCAAAGCAGCTGTTATGAATATGTCCAAAGATTTTTTTACAAATATAGTATAAGTAAATAAATAAGGAATCTCGAAAAGGAAATTTACTCTAAAAAAGAACCAGGCCCAGTGTGGTGGCTCACGCCTGTAATCCCAGTACTTTCACTTTGGGAGGCCGAGGCGGGCGGATCACGAGGTCAAGAGATCGAGACCATCCTGGCCAACATGGTGAAACCTCATCTCTACTAAAAATACAAAAATTAGCTGGGCATGGTGGCACACACCTGTAGTCCCAGCTACTCAGGAGGCTGAGGCAGAAGAATCACTTGAACCCGGGAGTCGGTGGCTGCAGTGAGCCCAGATCGTGCCACTGCACTCCAGCCTGACGACAGAGTGAGACTGTCTCAAAAAAAAAAAAAAAAAAAAAAAAAAAAGGAAAAAGAAAAAAAAGGAAATTCTAAAGCTGAAGTGTACAATAAGCAAAATTTACTAGCCCAGTTCAATAGCAGAGGTGAGATGGCAAAAGAAAAAAATTTATAACCTTGAAGACAGAACAGAAATTATCTAATTTAGGTCAAGCCCAGTGGTTCATGCCTATAATCCCAGCACTTTGGGAGACTGAGGCAGGCAGCTGCTTGAGCTCAGGAGTTTGAAACCAGCCTGGGCAAAATGGCAAAACCCTGTCTCTACAAAAAATACAAATATTAGCCAGGCATTGGTGGGGAGCACCTGTAGTCCCAGCTACTCTGGAGGCTGAGGTGGGATGATCACTTGAGCCTGGGAGGCAGAGGTTTCAGTGAGCCAAGATCATCACGCCACTGCACCACTGCACCACTCCAGCCGAGGTGTCAGAGCGAGACCCTATCTCAAAAAAAAAAAGGAAAAGAAATTATCTAATGCAAAGATTAGAGAGAAACAAGGTTGGGGGAAAAAACAAGAACATAGTTTTAGAGGCAGAGATAAGGACAACATCAAGCAATCCAACACTTACATTAAAGGTAAATGAACTAAACACTTAAAAGTCAGAGACCGAAGCTGGGCGCAGTGGCTCACAACCTGTAATCCCAGCAACTGGGAGGCCAAGGCAGGTGGATCACTTGAGGTTGGGAGTTCGAGACCAGCCTGACCAACATGGAGAAACCCCGTCTCGCCAGGCATGGTGGCTCATGCCTGTAATCCGAGCACTTTGGGAGGCTGAGGCAGGCGGATCACGAGGTCAGGAGTTCGAGACCAGCCTGGCCAACGTGGTGAAACCCCGTCTCTACTAAAAATACAAAAATTAGCTGGGTGTGGTGGCGCATGCCTGTAATCCCAGCTACCCAAGAGGCTGAGGTAGGAGAACTGCTTGAACCGGGACCCGGGAGGCAGAGGTTGCGGTGAGCTGAGATCATGCCATTGCACTCCAGCATGGGCAACAAGAGTGAAACTCTGTCTCAAAAGGAGAAAAAAAAAAAAAAGAAACCCCTTCTCTACTAAAAAAATATAAAATTAAATTAGCCGGGCGTGGTTTAGAGGCGCATGCCTCTAATCCCAGCTACTCGGGAGGCTGAGGCAGGAGAATCACTTGAACCTGGGAGGTGGAGGTTGCGGTGAGCCGAGATTGCGCCATTGCACTTCCAGCCTGGGCAACAAGAGTAAAACTCCGTCTCAAAAAAAAAAAGTCAGAGACAGAGACTGGGTTAGATAAAAATCAAGATCCAACTATGTGCTGTGTAGGAGCTCCACTTTAAATACAAAGACAGATTGACAGAGGATTACTAGAGTCAAAGGAAGTCATTTCATAATAAAAGAATAAATCAGGCAGGGAGATAAAACAATTAGAAATGTATATGCACCAGTAGTAACAGAGCTCCAAAATACATGAAGCAAACACTGAGAGAACTAAAAGAAGAAAGACAAATTAGCAAGGATAGATGGAGATTTCAATACTCCTCTTAGTAAATAATAGAAGGGTAGAAAAAAATCAGTAACACTATGTAAGACTTGAACATTATCAATCGACTTTGCCTAATTCTCATTTACAGAATATTCCATTCAGCAAAAGAATATACATTTTTTCAAGCACACATGGGACACTCATCCAGACAGACCACATATTAGAATAAAACAAATCTCAATAAATTTAAAAGGACTAAAACCATAGAGCATGTTCTCTGAAAAACAGACTTAAGGACTTTCACTTACAAAATCATTACAAGGGTGGCGACAGGACTTCGTTTTTAGTGATAAAGTCTACACACCCTTCTCCTTATAGTATCCGCAGAGCCTAAAAGGATAGTGAGGAAACATTCCATGAAAAAAATCCTTCCAGCTTTTATACCTCAGAAAATGGGATGTATTTTTGGTTCTTCTGCTTTAGTATGCCTGACTTGAGGTCATTACTGAGGCTGGAACTTTCACGCCACAGGTGGCTCTGAAATATGCAATCTATAGTTCTTTAAAGACTTCCAATTTCTTATCAGATTATTGTATATTACACCCTGTTAAGTCTGTAGTAATAAATACGGCTTTTACAAATAGGAACTATAATTTTAACTTGAGTCAAATGAGTATGCCTTAAGCCTAAGATGAAAAGAATAAAAAATACAGCAGTTTGCCTGAATTTGCCTGTCTCTGCAGAACTCACTGATGCCTCCAGGGGCTTTGAATCCACAAACATGTGCATGCACAGAGCTGTATTTACTGGGGTAAGGAGCCTAGAAAAAGATTTGGATGTGCCGTGATACAGGAAAGATGACCATCTAGAGCAGGGGTATTCAATCCTTTGGCTTCCCTGGGCCACACTGGAAGAATTGTTTTGGGCCACACATAAAATACACTAACACTAAAGATAGCTAATCAGCTTTAAAAAAAAAAATTGCAAAAAAATCTCATAATGTTTTAAGAAAGTTTATGAATTTGCATTGGGTCACAATCAAAGCCATCTTGGGCTGCATGCAGGCTGTGGGTTGGACAAGCTTGATATAGAGCATGAACTGGCAAACTACAGCCCCTGGACCAAATCTGTCCTGCAGCCCATAAATAAGGTCTATGGAATACAGCCATGTTCGTTCATTTACGTATTATCGATGACTGCTTTTGTACTATAAATAGAGTTGAAACTCGTGATAGATCCTTACCTTGAAAATGACATTAAAAAAAAAAAGTTGTGACAGAGACCATATGGACTGCAAAGACTTAAAGATTTACTACGTGGCCCTTACAAAAAGTTTGCCAACCCCTGATCTGGAGCAAAAATAGGCTGCTTAAAGTTGTATTAGGAAACAAATATTGAGATAGATCATTTATACATTTATTTAAAAATGGTCAAAAAATCTCCTTGAGGCTGGGCATGGTGGCTCACGCCTGTAATCCCAGCACTTTGGGAGGCCAAGGCAGGTGAATCACGAGGTTAGGAGTTCAAGACCAGCCTGGCCAAGATGGTGAAACCCTGTCTCTACTAAAAATACAAAAATTAGCCAGGCATGGTGGTGGGCGCCTGTAATCCCAACTACTGAGGCTGAGGCAGAGAATTGCTTGAACCTGGGAGGTGCAGGTTGCAGTGAGCCGAGTTGGCGCCACTGCACTCTAGCCTGGGCAACGGAGTGAGATTCTGTCTAAAAAAAAAAAAAGAATATTTTTCTGCATAGCCAAAATCAAAATATAACACCCAACAAAATTAACTATAACCCCCTAACATTAAAAAAAAAAAATCTCCTTGAAGTCTGGGTATCTGAAAAAATAAAAAAATAATAAAAATAAAAATTACCAAAAAGACAAAAACTGCTATATAAAAATTTGTAAATTTAAAACAAATTAAGGCGTGATTTGACAAAGGCCCATACTTGAGAAAAACCCCAGTTTCTCACCTGATATTTTGGTGCGTTGTTGCACTGTGGAAAACTGCCATTGACTTCTCCATTATGTAGTAGATTATTGTCCACCAGATTCCAGCCCCAGCTCTGGTCATCACTGCCCAGCAATGCCACATAACCTTGGCACTGCATGGGGGCCCGTTTTGTGGCAATTCCAATCACTGCCACAGTGCCCAGAGGGCCCTCCCACCACACTTCCCATGCATGGCGGCCCTCACTGAAACCAATCTTGGTCCTTGCACCATCAGTGCTCTGAGCAATGGGGTTTCGATGTAAAGTAAAGCCATTCTTCTTAATGTAGACATTCCTGGAGCAGTCATTAGTGCTGAAGGCATGTTGAAAAGCACGTATCTAAAAAGATGAAAAACAGACCAAATAAATAACAATTTTATTTTTCTTAAATATTAAAAATTACCCAAACTTCACGCTGTATGTTTTTAAATAACGAAGTTATATATTTTAAAATAACACAAGTATTTCCAAATAATGGCTGAAGTTTCAGGATGGAATACTAACAGAATAAATAACATTAAAAAATAAATGCCAACCGTTTCATCACTGACCAAAATTTTAAATTGTAGTATTTCCTCAAACAGACTTCTTAAAACATCAAAAGATACAAAAAAGAAAAATCCTTATATCTTACAGATAATACTGAAACGTTTATGGATAAAATAATGGTATCTGGGAATTGCTTTGAAATATCCAGAGATGGAGTGGGAGAGTGTGCAATAGAAACATGAAACTAGACTGGCCATAAATTAATCATTGGCAAAGCTTGGTGATGGGTATAAGGAAGTTCATCAAACTATTTTCTCTACTTTTGTTTATATTTGATATTTTTATACCAAAAAGTTGAGATGTACAGTTTTCATATGGGCAATGCTGTCATCAAAAAGAATTATATTTTACATAAAACAGAAACTTTAATCCTAGCAGCTCTAAAGTTTATGAAAAATTTTAGTAAACACAAACTACCTTAGATCCTCAGCCTACTTGCTGGATATGACTTACACAATAAAAAAATCACCAATCTCATTTTACCAAATCAAATAATCCCTTAGATAGCATCTAGGTTCAACTACTAGAATTTATGAAGAGAAGCTATCAATAAGACAAGTTAGTTGACTCTTCAGTAAATACAAAGGTTTACACTTCCAAAATAAAGAGGGTATGAAAATAGCTCTTCTATACAAACAATAACAATTTCTCATAAACAATTTTAAACTTTTAGTTTGTGTATTTTAAATTTTTTTTAGACAACGTCTCACTCTGTCACCCAGACTGCAGTGCAGTGGCACAATCGTAGCGCACTGCAGCCTTGAACTCCTTGGCTCAAGTGATACTCCCATCTCAGTCTTCCGAGTAGCTGGGGTTACAGGTTCGAGTCACTACGCCTGCCTGGCTAGTATGTTTTTAAAAAATCCCTTCTCTACTTTAGTCAAACTACCCAAAGCAGTGGAAGGCTGGGACCTATGCTTCAGCTAACCTGAGAAAAATCAACTCCAGAGGCATAGAATGTCAGCATTTAGGAAGACCCTTAAAGGTCACCTAGTCCTTCTCAGGGATTTCAACCGCGAGTTAGTGCAAGAGGCCCAAAGAGAGATCAAGGATCCAGTCCCCTCACCACCTGTTCGTTTACCATTCGCTGGCACTCTACCGTTTCAGTGAGCTGCAGAGCGCAGATTTAAAAACAGAGAACTATTTGTTTCCAGTATCCCATGCATTCACAATAAAACTGAGGCATTCCCAATGTTTTTCCTATCTGCTCGTATTATAAAATACTTTAAGGCACTTATAAGACCAAAACGTAAGATTCAATGAAGGGGCCGGGCGCGGTGGCTCACCCCTGCAATCCCAGCACTTTGGGAAGGCAAGGTGGGCAAATCGCCTGAACTCGGAGTTCAAGACTAGCCTGGGCAACATGGCGAAACCCCAACTCTAGTAAAAATACAAAAAATTAGCTGGGCGTGGCAGTGCACGCTTGTAATCCCAGCTACTTGGGAGGCTGAGGCAGAAGGAATGCTTGAGCCCAGGAGGCAGAGGATGCAGTGAGCCAAAATCACACCACTGCACTCCAGCCTGGGTGACAAAGTGAGACCCTGTCTCAAAAAAAAAAAAAGAAACAAAGAAAAGAAAGGAAAAGAAGATTAAATGGGGAAGGAACATGTCCCCAAAATAGCAAATACTGTCTAAATAACTCAAGAGAATAATATCAATAATTCACTATAAAATATTTAATTAATATTTCCCTATGCCTACTCCCCAATTCTTATAAATTCCAATTTCACATTGACACTATTGACAACCTCTTCCTTAAACTTCCTTTTCTTTTTTTTTTTTTTTGAGACAGAGTCTCACTCTGTCACCCAAGCTGGAGTGCAGTGGCTCAATCTCAGCTCACTGCAACCTCTGCCTCCTGGGTTCAAGCGATTCTCCTGTCTCAGCCTCCCCCGAGTAGCTGGGATTACAGACGTGCACCACCACACCCGGCTAATTTTTGAATTTTGAATAGAGACAGGGTTTCACCATGTTGGCCAGGCTGGTCTCAAACTCCTGACCTCAGGTGATCCGCCTGCCTTGGCCTCCGCAAGTGCTGGGATTACAGGCGTGAGCCACCACGCCCGGCCCTCTCTTCCTCAAACTTCTATGACATCTTCCTATTTCCCTGAACTGATCCTGTATCATTTCCTTTTTTGGTGACCACCCTTCCTCTGCCCCAACCAAATTCTCCAAACTCAGTCCTCAACTCTCTATCTGAATTATTTCCAAACCTGTCTTTCTAAAACAGCACCTTTACTACATATCTCATCCCAGTTCTATAACCTCTGGTAGTTCCATACTTAGTAGCATCACCAACTGCAAATTCTTCTGCCTGGCTTTCACAGCCCTCCAAATCTGATTCTTCCTATTTCCCTTTCTACCTTGATGATGTTCTTCTTGCTGAAAGTATTATATGTGCTTTCTTCTCCCACACATTCTCTAAGATCACCTCTATTAAGCTATTCTTAACCAGGGCCACCCAATTCCCTTGATGTCTCTCTCTGCCGGGTGCTTGCCCACCACTTTCTGTGCCACGTAACAATTTAGCAGCTCTTATTTTCTAACACACTTTTAACCACTGAGTCTAGTACAAAATAACTTGCAAAAAAAATCTAATCTAATCTAAATTGATCACACCTCAGTAGGAAATAGAGGACAGAAGAACATGTCAAGCAACACGATGATAATGAAATCCG